>NC_000006.12:103404123-103555638 GCF_000001405.40 Homo sapiens
GAATGAAGGCCTTAATAATGTCATAAAGGTTTTCTTGTAGCCTGCTGGCCTTCCCACTCACCCAACAACACACACTAAAACAGCTAATAATACAAAATTCAGTAATCTTTGATATCGCTCATGTATTTCCAAATTTTTTTACCAGAGATGTGTTCTTGCATGCACACATACTCACACACAAACATATACACACACAATTATTTTATAAATTAAGTATTATTCCAGCTGCAACTAATACCTGACAAACTAAAAATATTTATTAATTTCATAAACAAAAGTGCAGAGGTAGGTAATTTCAGACTTTAAACAGCAACTTGACAATGTCAACAAAGATCCACGCTCTTTCTGACTTTATGAGCCACCACTCTTGGCTTTTTGCTTTTATACTTACTGCCTCATGGTTATAAAATAGCAGTGAAATCTTTGGGCATCAGAACTCTATTTATTTTATTTTTTTAACATGGTCTTTCCCTGTCGCTGGGACTGGAGTGCAGTATCGCAATCATGGCTCACCATAGCCTCAACCTCCTGATCTCAAGTGATCCTCCCACCTCAGCCTTCCAAGGTAGCTGGGACTACAGGCATGCGCCAGCACATCCAGCTAATTTTGTATTTTTTTTAGAGACGGGGTTTCACCATGTTAGCCAGGCTGGTCTCCAACTCCTGAGCTCAAGCGATCCTCTTGCCTTTGCCTCCCAAAGTGATGAGCTTATAGGCATAAGCCACTGTGCCTGACCAGAACTATTTTCAAAAACAAGAAGCAAGGTAAAGAGGCGATGAGACCGGAGAATCCGCTGGACCCCTTCGCAGGACTGCAAAAGGGGTGTGGTTTGCTTACTTGGCCGCTGTCCTCAAACCCCTTGCAGGGGATGGAGTACACAGGCAGGCGGGTGCCAGGGCCAGAGTGAGTACTTTGGGGCTCTGGCCCCATGGTAGCATTTAGGGGTGTGTTATAATTTATGCTATTTTAGCAGTTGCCAGTCCGACGATGGCTAAGTGTTAACCAGCTCAGTGGAGAGTCAGGGTGATAGCTTTTTACACCCTGCCCTCTTGGTATCTGGGCCCTTTCCTGGCATCCGGGAAGAATCAGGTCACAGGGACTTGAAAGATGGTGAATGCAGAGGTTTCATTAAGCAGTGGAAGTGGCTCTCAGCAGAAGGAGAGCTGGAAAGGGGATGGTGCGGGAAGAAGGAGATCTTCCCCTGAAGCCTGGCCATATCCGCTGGGCTCCCCTCTGAAGTCCTGACGTCCGACATTAAACCGCATCTCTCCGCAGTTTCCAATGCTCAGTTACTTCTCTCCACGTTCAGCCACTTGTCCCTCTGCTGGCTGAGGTCTGAGGTTTATACGGGCACGGGATAAGGGGGTGGGGTGAGCCAAAAAGCAACATTCAGGTGCAAATTAGGAATGCCTGTTCTCATTTAGGGCGGTGGGTCCAGTATTGAGGGTGGAGCCCTCTCCGGGGACCCTGCCCTCCTTCTTCCAGTCTGTATCAGTGACAGATCCCTAACGACCAGGGCCGTTCATCTGTGTGACTCTCCCATGTTTTATCAACATTGGAGCTTTTTTGGGGGCCATGAGTCTGACCCTTCCCTCTCCTTTGCTAGAATTTTGTCAAAGGGCAAACTTGAACTGCAAGGGGAACTGGGAAAACAGGAGTCTGGCAAAAGAAAATGGGGTGATCTTTATAATGACTCACTCCTAGAGCTGGAAGTCTGTTTTAGCTTCCCAGATCAAGGAAACTTTCCCTGTACCAACCACACAAGTTCTAGATGTTTTAATCAGGGGAGGAAAAGGCGAAAGGCTGTGAATACCAACTAATATTTTCTACAACAAGCACTTATGACATATTATAATGATTTCATTATATTTCTTTTATCCTGCTACGTAAATTAGATATTGGTAGTCTTAATCTCAGTGACCTGCACATATTATTCAATAAGTGTTTATTGAGTATAAGAATAGACAAACTGTGATAGGTATTGCAATAAAATATATTTACTTCGGGTTTCTTACTAATATCTAATTAATATATCCATTAATTGTACTTTTAGGTGCTTAGGATCAAGAAAGACTGAAAGGAATCAAGTTCAATCTTCCATGCACTTAATCTCAAGAGATGATAATTCAGCTTCTACTTACACTGTCATAATGGGAGTGAGGCTCAATTCTATGAAAATTCTTATTTTTGGTTATAATATGCTTCCCTATAACTGTAATCTTCTGGTTTTAGTCCTGCTTTTGCTGGACCCATGCTGAAACAATGTCCACACAGTTTCTCTTATACTCTTTCCTCCAAAATCTGTTTTATTTATTTTCAAATTATTTAATTCTCTTTTCAATGCGTTGTTATCCTAGCTGCATTTCAAAATCTCAAAGAACCTCTTGAATTTTGGTGTTAAGAATTCTCACGATATGTGGGTATGTTAAAATTCTTCACATATACTAGATACGGGTACTTGACTATTGACTAATACATTTTCCTTTTGTCTATATAGAACACTGTCCTCATCATATTTTTGCTAATATTGATTTTTCACTTCAAAACTATACTATGCTAAAACCATTTGTTTATAACATAGTCTGTACTATGTACATGTCTATTTTCCAAACCATATAGTCCAAGCCAGGAATCATGTCTTTATTTTACATCTTTGTGACATTTTAAAAATATCCTAAGACATAAAGAAGTGGTGAATTTTAGTAAAATAACTAGCAGATTTGAGGCACTAAAATAAGCATATTGCAGGAAAATTTCTCAGTCTATGTGTTCCAAATTACCTTATCTTTTAAACAGGACTGTTAAGAATCTGATGTCAGAAACTGTGTTGCAGTCAGTGATAATATGTATTTGCCTATAAACTTCAAAATATTGTGCATATAAAAAGTGTTAGTATTATTTTAGGTGATGGATATCTGTTTGTCAAATATTTAACATTCTTCTCAGTTCAAGTTTCAAATTAAATATTAATATAGGTATTTTTAACCCACATTCATATAGTTACATATTTTGGTTTAATTCTGAAAAATTGCTAGAGGTAATACTCATCTACTACACTGATATTAACCAAATGTGAGACAGTTAAAGTTTATTGAAATATATTCCCTCAAGATCTTTTTACCTGAACTCTAAGCCAACCCAGTAGTAATAATTTTATTCTCATTTTACTAATTCCTGATAAAACTTAGGTGCTAATAACCCATCATGTTAATCCTTCCTAGAATTTTATGTAATATAATTTTATATTATAAAAATAAAGATCATAATAAGCATACTACAAGCCGACTTTACAGATACCACATAAATATAACATTGGAAAATAAAAAGAAAATAGTTTCAAAGGTAGCAATTCATTTGCTGAGGGAAAGGTTTTAATGACAAACAATGTCATATCCATATCTTTGATAAAATTTGTTCCAAATTAATTTTATGTATTGATTTTTATTTTCTAAATTCTCATTGCATTTGTGTGTTTCAGAGTTAAAATGGGCTGGAGGCCACAAATTTGAAGCTTCTTTCTATTTTATGTCAAGAAAATGGTTATTCAGACTCTGTCTGAGTATTTCAAGGAATATCCCAAAGACAGGGTAGTCAACTCAAAATTAACTTAAAAAAAAAAAGGTATTTTATTTTGTCCAAAACTACCTTATTGTAAAATCTACTCACTAGTTTTAGTTTTGCACAACAGAAATACTATGACAATGCTCTTTTTCCCCACAGAGTATAGGCACCCCCATATGCGCACACAGGTATTTCCACATACACACATTTTTGGATTCTCTCTCTGATACTTGTTCACAAGAAGTGTTTTGTGTGTTTTTCTCTTTCCCTATCCTCCTATCCTTGTGGTAAGTACAAGAGATGACCTGCCTGATGAGGAAAAAGTTCTGCAAATGCCTGTCTCCTTTTCCTGAGACTGATTTATTACAGGCACAAAGTAGTAATAAGTTCATCTTGTCTCTAATATCAGCTACACGCCAAGCCCTTAATTTCCCAGGAAACAAAGCGATTCAACCAGAAATAATATTAGAAAAATATAAATTTGTGTTATTTTCATAGTTTTTCCTTTTCATATTTTTCTTTTTGTTTTTTACTAGCATGCATTTTTCTGTTTCAAATCAACGAAAAAGGAAAACTCACTAAGTAAAATCCCAATGCTTACATATATTCTTTATAGTCATAATGGTTGTTCTGCTTTTATTCTTCTACTTTTAATTTTTATTATTATTCTGGGAAGGGACCAAAAAAATTAAGTAAGAGAAAGTAGTAGACTTTTTAAAAAATCTAAAGTAGTAGACTTTAAAAAAAATCTAAAGCAGGAAGAATAAAAAATCCCATAAAGGGCCATTAAAAAATAATTAAAACTAATTTCCAATAAATTCCGTAACCTTAGAATAAAGGAAGGATTCCAAAAGGGGAAACTGAGGAGAATACAATAACAGTAGAAATTACAAAGAGAAAGGATTTTTATGTAAAATATATTTTTGTAGATAAAAAGGCTTTGTAAAAGGAAAAAAATATGATGCTTCAGTAACTAAAAAATAATAATGGCATTTCAAAACCGAATAAATGACCAATGCATTTAAAGTGTGATACAAGAAAACATAGAGACTTGACAGGACTTAAGGAATTTTTTTTGGTCCTTACTGAAGAAATAATTCCACTTAAAAAGACAATAATCTAATTTTCTGATGAGGTGTTTTGGAGAACAATTTTCTAGTCTTTCAGAGGGTATATATATATATATATATATATATATATATATATATATGTCTCCTTGCAGACAATGTTTTACATATCAATTTTGTTTTTTCTTTCAAAAACTCCCAGAAATTTTTAATAAAGTGTCAGATTGGTTTTTCAGAAAGCACTCATATTTATCAACAAAAGTAGATTTAAAGACTTCATGGTGCAAAATCTGCCAAATTATTGTTTATAAGTTCCATAATGCATTTGAATGGAAAAGTAAGAGATAAGAAAATTAGTAACTCCAGGGATAAAATTTTATTCCTATTAATGACATCTGCTGACAGAGCCCCAAAGATGTTTATTTGAAATAAACACAATGTTCTTAAATCCCTTCTCTAGGAATTTGGAATATGAAGTTCAAAATCGGGAAGTATGCTTTTAAGGAAAGTTCAGCTGAAACTACACAGAAAGATTATGAAGAAACCCAAGTGATAACTTTCTAGAACCTGTGGATTTTGAAATGTATTTCCTAAAACTCACTCTTTCAGCTGTCCAAGATTAATGGGGCCTTGGAAACATGAATTATCCTACCAAAACCATACAAACACAAAGACGACCTGGTGTTATTTATTGCTTTGCAATGAAAATGCATGCTGTTCACATGATACAGTATATTGAATTGTATCTTCCAAAAAGCTATGTCTAAGTCCTAACTCTGGACATGTGACTAAGATTTTATTTGGGGAAAAAAGGTCTTTGCAGATATAATTAAGTTAAGGATCTTGACATGAGATCATACTGCATTTAATATGGGCTTTAAATCCATGACTGATGTCTTTATAAAAGAAAGGAGAGGAGATATGGCACACAGAGAAGACAATGAGAAGATGAAGGCAGAGATTGGCGATACACTGCCATAAATCAAAAAACACCAGGAGACACCAGAAGCTGAAAGAGGTAGGAAAGGAATTTCCCCTAGAATCTTTGGAGGGAGAAAGCATGGGCCTGCCAATACCTTAATTGCAGGCTTCCAGTTTGAGCATGAGAGAATACATGTCTTTTTTCAAAAAGCCTCCAAATTTATAGTAATTTGTTATGGCAGCCTAGGAAACAAATACACATGATCCGGGCTCTATTAACAAACCAAGCATGTGGAGACCCAATATTATTTATTACTAAACATAATGAGAAGACTCATTGTTTGTTTATTACTATGAAATGAAAATGAATGATTATTATCCTCTCTCTGTGGAAGTACTAAGGATAATCAGAACAATGCTTTTATATAGAGGAAGAGAATATTACAGTTAGATGATTTTTAAAAATGTTTCTCAGCTACAGTGAATGCAGTGTTTTTTCTCACAAGGTACTTCTTGCCCATGGATTTACAACTGGCCAAATTGAATCTTTTGGTCAAGACTCTCTACTGTGAGTAGAGCAGGAAATACATGAAAACATTCAATATATGTGATACATTCTTCTACGAATTTTGAATAACCTTTTTTTACCTTTCTAAAATTCTTTGTCTCTGCCATAAGCTTTACAACGAAGAAACATCCTTTCTATATATAGAGCTATAATTCAGTGTATTATTATCTGGTTGTCCTTTAACTTGAGCTCTGTAAGAGATAACCAAGTTCTCCAATGATGTGTTGGGACAAATCTTTGCTTCTCAGAGCAAAGTTTATGTTATGTATTTTAAAGAAAGCTGTCATTTTGGTGACTTCACATATCCAAATATTAAGCTGTGGCTCCTGCATTCCATTAATTTATTTAACATGAAAATAAAGACTGAATTTTAAAAATAAAGATTATTCTTATAAATATAACATTAAATTTGTATTCATTTGTGAATAAATATTTTTTAAGGTTAAAATATTGGTTTAATCAATATTTGATACCCGAAGATTAATTCCATATTTAATAATACATTGAATTTTGTTGCACTGCCTTTTTGTCATCTATTTATTTACTTCCTTGAGTGTTATTTATTTATATGATTCCGTGTAACTAATATTAGCCCTTTGTTTACACTCAAAGCTGCAGGTTATTATTTTTATTTATATATTTTTTCTCAAATGATTTTTTAAAGTATCAAATAACCTTTCTTATTATGTATTTGATGGACAGCGTTTGTCTTTGTGAAGTTTGGTTCTTTCTTCAATAAAAATTTTAAAAAATAAGCAAAATCTGTTTTAATGGAAATTGATTCTTAAATACAAAATTAATGATTATGATTTTTAAAGGGAATTCCATTGCTTTCTAATAAAATATATAAAATTTATTACATTTAAGAGGCTACACATGCACTGAGATCTTATTTGTCTTTTGTTTAAACCATTTTATTTTATTTTATTACTTATGCCATGTGTACATCATCTGTGTTATCATTTATATTTTTATACTTTAAATTTATTAAACTACTGTATTAATCTAAATATCAGCAATTTTTTAATAAAAGTACTCAGATGATTGAGTTGAATACGTTTTGAAAAGAGGGATTACTTACAAAATGGTGGACATAGCAAAAGAACAAAGAAGATAAGACATGCAATTACTAGAAGTTTGAGAAGGTAGGAACAACTCTTGGAGCTGAAAAGCATGGAAATAGTGTCAGTGGAGCTGTGCGAGAGTTAAGACAAAGTGAAAACGTTTCCATTAACTTAGACCTTGGGTTCCAACAAATCTAGTTTATGCCAGACAAGGCAGAAAAAAATATACTGATCTCTCTCTTCCTACCCTTTAATCTCTGCTGCCATTCATTGATTAGACTCAACCAACATCCTATTAACAAGGTGGCTCAGATAATGAATTCTATAGTGGCAAAAAAGTAGAGAGGGAAAAAGCTAATAATGGATCTGGGGTAGGGTAGGAAATAAAGAGAAGATGGTCAGTACAATTATTCTCCTATTTAAAGAGTGGAGGAGTGGCCAAAGAATGATCTATAAACTTTAAAAAAGCACTTAGGTAAATAGTTACACAAACATTACAATTCACACAGATGCCACAACATTCCAAAAAAAAAAGGAGCTCCAATCCTGTGTGATACTGACATATCATTACATGAAGCCATGACGGCTTTCATTTTATTTTCTAAAAATAATATGAATTATTTTTTGATAAACCAAGTCTTTTTAAAATAAAATAACCTCAAGGTAATGTTTTAAAATGTGAGATAGATAAATTTTGTGAGTAAAGACTTAGAATATAACAAAAATATAAATTCATCTTTCAACTCTGGTATAACAATAAAAACAGAAAGAAGTCACACATAATGTAAAATTACAAAACTCATTATGAATTCAATGGCAAATATTATGATCTGAAATAGGAGGAATAAGTTTTATCCAGAATTCCATATGGAATGACTACTCTACATTGTGTATCACTGATCCATAAAGCATTAGAGCAGTTATGATCCCACATGTTGACATGCTTTGCTATACATTTGGAAAAAGTAATCTACTGAATTGAATCAGTTCATTGCACATATTATATTTATTTATGTGGGAGAATAGCTAGGCAACTTTCTATCTTACACTAATAATACATGTAACAGGAAATTAGATGTTTTGTTAGGTAATGATTTAAGTCATAACATAGACTAGAAAATGCACTGATATCATTCCTGATGATTCTTCAGCTCTGTGTGTACAACCAAAAAAGAGTCATTTCTATATGACAAAATGAGAAATTTTATCTAAATTCCAATCTGGACTTACTCTAAGAGGGAAAAAATAAGAGGTCATCACTAATTTAAGACATTTTTTAAATCTTAAATAAAAAATTAAGATTAAAAGAAATTAATCTTAAAAATAATAAATGCCATAAATATATTGAATTCTTCATCACTGAGTAAACATCTTTTTAGCATTCAGGGCACAAATGTGGTCCATGAGTATACTTCTCTGCTGCTAACTACTGTTTTCCACTAAATTTTGTTAGATATTCAATGGGAGATTTGAAAGTGAGAATTGAGATAAAAAGATCTCTTCACGACATAAGTAATGCCATTAAATCAATTTCAATGATTTCAAGTGTTTCTTGAGTGACAAATCTCAATGATACTTTCATTATTCATATTTTCCCTAACCCACAGTCCTGAAAGATCACAATTTCTTAATGTTGTGGTAAGACAATAAGATAATATCGTCAGAAGATTGAACTGGGGTCCAAGCAGAGATATCCAACAGTTTTATTCTTTCTTAACACATGGTAATTGTCTTCACTCATTGGCGAAAGAAGCTGATGAAGTATTATTAAGTATACCTTAAAATGAACTCGAATACTATAGTAGATCATGAAGAAACACTTTCCAGAACTCAAGGCAAGAGAAGCTGATTGGAAACACGAATTTTGTCTACCAAATTGAAAGATTTGAAATTCCAGCTTTTGAGTGAAATTAATCAGCTTTGTATCTGTTTTGGAGACAGGAAATAGTCTTCAGTAAGAAAAGACATGATAACTTCTGATTCCAAGTGTTATATATTATGCCCAAATATCTGATAGATTCACTCCAATCCTGGCTGCCATTCTCAATGACCTATTTTACTTCTAGTTCTATTTAGGGGTTGTACACATTTACAAGAAAACATTGATGGATGGTGAAATCTGACCAACACCTCATGATCTTTATTCATCAACCTGAATAGGTAACCTGGTTAAAGTTTACAAAATGTCATGCATTTTATGTGATATAATTATTTAAATTGAAATATTAATTTAATAATAACATCTGTGATAATCTTACACACATTTTTAAACTCAGTGATTCGTAAAAGTAGTTTAACAATATCAAATTTCAGAAATGTTGCTGTAAAGAACATAATTCATAATTTTGAAATGCCGTTATAAAACATAAAGAAATGGAATAAGTGGAAACTTGAGGAAATTACTATCATGTAGATTAATTTGTTTGCTTGAACAATAAAGAATATAAGTGGATAAAATGTAGATTAACATATTACAACATGTATTTTAGGGAAGTGCAAATTTCTGATTAAGAAAATTTTAGAAATTCTGCATCATATAATCCCCAAATGAACTGTTACAATGCATAGAAGAAGACAAGATAAATCTTTCAGCTAATAAACATCAAAATTTCTTTTAACCAAGAATTTTCAAAATATATCTGATGCTTTTGTGATATGTACTAGTTCTTTTTATTAGCAGAACCTATGTTCATTGGAAGATATTTTGGGAAAAATGGTCCGGATAATTGCTTTCCTAATATTGGAATTTAAAAGTGGATCATTTAAAATAAAAACAAACAAATTATACAAGTCAGTCTTACCAACAATATGGTAATAATTATTTGTTCATTAAATACTAACATTTATTTCTTTGCCTGTCCATGCATTTTCTTAATTCAATCCACTCAATAAATTAGTTGGCATTATAATGCTAAATCACTCATTAGAGCATAACTGTTCAGCACATTTATTTATTTTATAAAATATTTGAAACACTATTTATCTTTTTTACCATTGTTTTTAAAAATGCAATCACACTCCATACTCTAGATGTCTTGAAATACTTTCATAAGGGCTGAAAACATCTTTATTTCAAATACCATATGCAAGTTAAAATGAAACATTTATTTAACCTTCATTATTTTCCCTTGCTATAATTAGCAACTAATCTTATCCACATATAGCCGCAGGCTCAGAGCAACTAAATGCTTGACTGTCGGAATGATTTGGGAACTTTACTTTCTGATAATTACAAGATATAATTACTTTGGAGCTTTCAAAGACCTTTCAGTGATTAGGGAAGCTTTTCTAAATCAGTCATAACATTTGTATTACTAATAAACTAAGAAGTCCTACACTCTAATAGCTGACACGTTTAGAAGAAACATCAGTTCTAAAAATGGTATTGCAGACTTCAGGGAAAACCATTTAAGTATTAAAAGCATTACCATCTACAAAATCCAGCTTCATAATTTTTATTTTATAAATACATAATCGATTAAGGTGTATAAAATCAATTTTATGGGCATATTTTCAGAACACTGAATATAGGAAATATAGAATAATTAATAAAACATGCAAAAAATTAAAGAAAAAAATTTCTTTCATCAGCGCTCAATAGCCTATACCAACCAAAAGAGCAGTGTTAGGAAATTTACTGCCAGAGTAATTCACACAAAAATTTGTCACCAAAGATCTGAGTACCTTAGGAAAGTATGAGCAATTTTTATTTTCTGCGTGACAACGAATATGCCAGGGAAATTGTTGCTGAATTTTAATCTGAATATAGGAAAAATCAGAAGTGGAAAACTCATGTTTGAAAGTCGAGGAAAAGTAAGTAATTTACTGAAATAATTCCGGTCTATTTTTCTTTATGCTGAAAGCATTTTTTTTTTAAGTTTCACTGTCAATATGACTAAAATGTGGCATATCAATGCCAGTGAGACAAGATTCACTGTATTACAGGTGGACGTGGCAAAGAACACTTTGAAAAGCGGAATACATATATTAGGGTTCTTTCCAGGAGTGTGAGATAAAAATTAACATCTCTGTTTATTTAACACTCAAGGAACATGTGTAATCGTAATATATTTATATGTACAAGAATCTCAGCTAAATTTTATTGAAAAATAGTCCCACAGAGACACTGAGATATGTGAGATTAAAAAAGTAAAATTTTATACAAAGATGTTAAAGAAGTTCTCATAATACCATAATACTCTCAGAATAGGAAGTTCCTTTACTACGTTACTATATAGCATTTGTTGTTTAGTTTTTGAACTAGCTCTGTATTTTGATGAATCCAAACTTGTTTGTCTAAATCTACACAATGGCTACTGTAAAAGAAGTAGTTAGTTTGAGAAATCGGTGTCTTTAAAAATGCTTAGTGAAACAATCTGCACACTTAAGTTCTGGATTCCTGAGTTCTTTCCCTGCTTCTGCACATTTAGGAATTATGTGACTTTATTATGAACACATTTCTACTATATGTCAAGTATTCTTGCTATATGTTACTAGTATTTTTTTTTTTTTTTTGAGACAGTGTCCTTCTCTGTAGCCCAGGCTGGAGTGCAGTGGCGTGATCTCGGCTTGCTGCAACCTCTGCTCCCAGGTTTAAGTGATTCTCCTGCCTCAGCCACCTGAGCAGCTGGGATTACAGGTATGCATCACCATAATTTTTGTATTCTTAGTAGAGACAGGGTTTTGCCATGTTGGCAAGGCTGATTCCCAACTCCCAGCCTCAAGGGATCTGCCTACCTCAGCCTCCCAAACTGCCCAGATTATAGGCATGAGCCATCATGCCCGGCTATAACCTTTTTAATAAATTGCCAGTATAGATATCATCCTGTTTTGGTAGTAATAAAGTTGAGGTTCAGGAAATTTAAATAAGCTGCCAAAAGTCACAAAGTTAGCAAATGATGGAAGCAGAATTCAAATCTACATTTAACTAATTCCAAAGATTAACTCTTTAAAATGCATCAGACTGTGACCCTCAATAAATTTCATAATCCCACTGAATTTAAATTTATTTACATACATAAAGCAGTAAGCCACTTCTTATATAACTTATCCAATTGTTGGATTAATAAAAAATGCAAGAAGTTGAATATATTTTATGTGTATTTTTATGATGTATTTATTTAATAAATACATCAAATTTTTTATTACCTTTTCTTCTAATCCTAGGTTATTTTAAGTAGAAATAGTGCTTGGATTTTATCAGTTTCCTAGAAATATAAAACTGGAGGTATGTAATGCCAGTTTTATTATCTAAAAGAAATCTGCATAAAATTATCCTATTATAAATTTGAACTGACATAAATGCTATTACTCAACTATAAAATACAGGATGATGCTATTCTTAAAGATGGCTAATTTTGGATTGCATTATATACAAAAATACTCATAAATAACAAAGTATTATTTGTCTTAAATCAATACCTCCCTTACAGTATTGATTTTTAATGAGTCATTTCCATGTAAATTTCTGACTATATTTATAGAATAAGAAAAATTCTGTATTCTCACATCAGTAGACATAGTCAAGCCTGTTTCCTCAATGTGAATAAGTAAAGTATAATAACATAATATAGCATCTAAGTCTTTTTTTCAGATTTTTGTTTTAATAATGCCATAAACTGCTTAAAATTACTTTTGAAGTCTAACATTTCATACAAATATCATATAGAAGGAACTATAGGAACTACTACTAAAATTGCTTCACTTGAAGCAAAAATTGGAAGAAGAGTAATGTTTATCAAAGTTCAATATGATGAGCCACTCTTCGCACTTCTGAAATATGAGCTGTAATATCCAATTACTTAATGAGTAAAGCCATGAGCTTGCCAGTCACAGACAGGATTTCAGTCCTGTCCTTGTCACTTATTAGCTGCGAAATCTTGTTATTTTACTTAAATTTCTGAATTCTGGATAAATTTAGTATTTACCTCCTAGGGTAGGTACAAGAAAAATGAGTTTATTGATGTGGAATAGTTTGCATAGTTTCAGAAAGACACTAAGTACTAATAATATATAAAAATTTCAGGCCACTCATGAAGAATTCTAAATAGAGTTCATTTTCGGGAGAATTTTTTTTAGATTGCAAATTGTGACATGCTATGTGAATATGAACCTGCATTACATTTTTACCAGAAACTGGAAAATTCATAAAATTTCCCTTATTGAGATGTTAATAATACAAGATATTAGTATTGATTGAATATGCTTTTCTTATTTTTACACAAAATTAATAGTATCATTAAAAATTTGGTAAGCTTCTGGACATTGTTTTAATATAGCGTTTGAAACATTGTCATACAGGCCAATCCTAAAAAGAACTGGGGCAAATAGACTCACCTAAAAAAGGTATTTTTCTTATGAAATGCAAATTGTCCCACCTGCTTTTAGGACATTCCCTGCATCTGTTAAATTCACACATCTTTTTTGGAAAAGAAACAAATTGGCTCAAGAGCAGACATTAGTAGAAGTTCCTTATTTCATCAAAAATAAAGAGCTAGGAAAGAGGACACTAAGATTAGATTTTATTCTGAGTAGAATGAGAAGCCATTGAAAGGGTTTAATGAAGAGTGCTGCACTATGTCACTTGTGGTGCAACACCTCTAATCTGGCTGCTACGTGGGGAGGGGCTTTTAGAGAGACAGGAGTGTAAGCAAGAGAAATTGTTCAGGAGCAGTCGTGGTAATACAGGCAAGAGATAGAAACGGTGGTACGGTTTTTTTTTAGTTGTATAGTCAGGAACAGGTGGGTTTATATATAGTGAAGGATGTGTGACCACAAAGTGCAGTCGAATGTTCCCCTCAGCAAGCAAGCATTGTCCTCCTCCACAAAATTCTGAACACAGCAAAAAGAAAGTGCGAGATTCACATATTATCACTGCGTTGATTAAAAATTGTTTAAGTGGCCAGCAGTAACTTCTTAGAATGAGTTTATTGGACCTGTGGTGCTCTATCTAGATCCCTCAGCCAAGGTGACAATTCCTTCCAAGGACATCCTGCATCTAGTGGACGATAATGAGGAACAGAAAGACACAGCCTCCCTTCCTAACTCAGAACAATTCTGAAGGAATATCAACTCTGAACCCTCCATGAGGTTGGCTGGGGCTTTCACTGGGAATGCGTGGCAGCTTGACATCCCCCTGTACCAAATCTTACTTCTTTTTTCCTTTCCACAGGTGCTAATCCCAAGAGCACTTTCTAGCAAATGTTCTGCACATTAAAAGGCCTCACTTTAGCAGGACAGCCTCATTCCCCGCTTGCCTCATACTCATTCTGCCAGACCCAACTTAGCATTCTCAGCAATTCTCAGGCTTTCTCTCATCTTTGGGGATTTGAGCATTCTGATGCTTCTGTTCAGATCACCCTTATCTATTGTTCCAACTAGTGCTTGTCTGCTCACATTTTAGTCCAATTCAGAGTTGATCACTTCTGGGACTTTCCCCAGACCTTTCATTTTGGATTACAGGCTTTGCTCTAAGCTTCCCCAGTACTATTTAGAGATTAACTCTGAGATTACATTTCACACAACTTTTTTTTTGTAATCTTTCAGTGAAGAATAAGACTTTTGAAAAAAAGAGAATCTCTATTTTCTTCAGGTTTCTTTAGTGTGTAGCACATTGAGTGATACTAAATGGTTTTTAAATAAATATTTGTCAACTGAATAAAGCAAAAAAGAAGCTTATGAGTGAGTGAAATAATAAATGAGGGTGAGAGAAACTGATCCAAAGCCATTGGAGATATATTCCAGATCTTTCTTTCGCTTTCCTCTTTTTGCCAAGTTTGTCAAACATTCATTCTAATAATAGTAATAATGATAATAACAATAAATGGTAACAATGAGAATATCATTAATATCTGGCACTAATAAAACCTTAAGTGTCAGGAGTTATGCTAAGCGATTTCAATGAATTATTATGCTTCCTCCCAACAACACTGTTGTGTGTAAATACTCTCATACTCAACCTCATTTTGAAGACAAGGAAGACAGAGAAGTTGGATATTTTTCCTAGATTTCAAAGAGAAAAAAGTGAGGGAGTTAAAGTCATCCACCTTTAAATAAATGCTGGTTCATGGAAGCCATTTTTAACACACTGTTCTTTATTCCATATATTTTATTATATTTAAATTTTTTTAATTTTATTATTATTATACTTTAAGTTTTAGGGTACATGTGCACAATGTGCAGGTTTGTTACATATGTATACATGTGCCATGTTGGTGTACTGCACCCATTAACTCATCATTTAGCATCAAGTATATCTCCTAATGCTATAAAATTAAGGAAAAAGATTGGAACCAAAAAGCAGGGACATAGACTTAGGCATTAGAATTATTGGCTTCTGAATGGCTTGGACTAACAAAAACTCTCAGATATCCATTTCTCTTATCTGTAAAAATTCAAAATTTGTAGCTAAGAGAAGTTGGCTCAATTAAGTGAGATATTTTATGCATACACAGTAGACATTAATTCCCCTCTCTTCTTGCCCTCTTTCGCCCCACAATGTCTTTTTATCTTTTATATAAAGTGTTAATTTATAATATGCTTTGGTTTTGACACACAAACAATATAGATGATTAATTGTATTCTTTTTTATATAAATCATCATGCTCTGCCCCTACAAAATATTAATTAAAATTACAAATTGAAGCTAACTTTAAACTTCAATTAAATTTGCCTTTACTGATACATACTTTTTTTATCATTCTAAATGAATCAAAAGCAACTACACCATTACAAAAACTCATCATAAAAAAGGCATTAAGATTTCATGAGAAAGAGAGAGAAAGAGGGAGAAAGGAGAGAGTGAAATTGGAGTGACATATAGCACACCTTCTTCTGTGTAATGAGCTTGGAAGATCAAAGAATCCTCTATTTTTTTTTTTTTTCCTTTACTGCCAAACACAAAGAAACTTCACAGGGAAAGTTAAGTTGCAATTCTTAAGGTCATGGGTTATAACTAACTTGTGACAAAGTTTTCTGTTAACCTGTTAGAGAAGAAACATCAAGGAAGCCATAAAAGAACATTCTATAAGTTGCTCTAGGACATGTTTTCAAATAGTACCCTATCACATTACCTAAAAATGTCATCATTGATGAATAGCCTTTGTGGTAGATAGAGCCTTGTAGTTAATGTACTTGCCCCAGTCGCTCCAAAACTCACTTTTGAGAATTTAGGAGGATGATTCTTAGCCAACTTAATGTTTAGAAATACCACTCTAGGATCTGCATCATTCTTGTTATCATCAACCCAATAATCTGTAAGATTTATACATAGTAAGCCTGAGCCTACAAGGACTGAGCAGGCAGTGATTCATTGTTAGCATATTTTCCAAATTGTATTATATCACTGGGTTATTAGGAAAATTATGTAAGATTAGTTGAGCAAAAATAAGAATATGTAGATGTAATATAGATATAGACAATGAGGGAAAATAATATAACTCCACATCCATAGTTGTAGGCCTAATACAGCTATAATTATTGTAGCTGAAGTTTAAGAGGAGGGATATTATTTCTAGAGATTAGAATGATAATGTGGTAAGCAGAACATTCTGTTAAGACAAGCTCGGCCGGGCGCGGTGGCTCACGCCTGTAATCCCAGCACTTTGGGAGGCCGAGGCGGGTGGATCATGAGGTCAGGAGATCGAGACCATCCTGGCTAACAAGGTGAAACCCCGTCTCTACTAAAAATACAAAAAAAAATTAGCCGGGCACGGTGGCGGGCGCCTGTAGTCCCAGCTACTCGGGAGGCTGAGGCAGGAGAATGGCGTGAACCCGGGAAGCGGAGCTTGCAGTGAGCCGAGATTGCGCCACTTCAGTCCGCAGTCTGGCCTGGGCGACAGAGCGAGACTCTGTCTCAAAAAAAAAAAAAAAAAAGACAAGCTCAACACATTGATTCTATATTAGGAAATAAGAAAATTTTGCAGAAGCTTTTGTAACTTTGCTTTTGAACTTCACATATTGAATCTTTGGGTTTCATTATTTGGAGAAAAAGATGAGTTTTACCACTTTAAAATTATTATTTCATCAGAGTACATAGTTAACAAAAGTAGCCCCAAGTTTTTTTCTATTTAACTTCAAATTTTAAGTAACCAGAAGGCAATATTGACAGTGTTGTTTTAATCTATGTAAGTATATTTACATGCATGTATTGCAAAATCAATGCCAATGTTCTGTGAATTTTTTCCAAATTTAATATGTTAAATTTATTTTACTCATCAAAACAAAAATTAGTCTATTCTGTTACTATAACTCAGATGTAGAAATATAATGGCTATACTTAATACTAGAAATATTTAATTGCTTTCTTAATACCTAAAACTCATTTTATATCTTAAGTTGAAGACAAAACATGTTCCAAGTTTAATACATGGCAAAGTATACACAACTTCAGTTATAACATATAAACTTTGTACATGAACTAGAACTAGATAGCCTATTGATATGCAATACTATATTTATGAATATAAATTGGTTAAAAAAGACCTCTAGCACAGAAAATATTATCCACGTGTCTTAACACTGCTACAAATGAAGAGATAATATACTTCAGAGAGAGAAATACTCTTTATAGTTATTACTTGGGAACTTAAGGAATAAAATTATGAAATACCAAGGAAGCAATAGCTACAAAAACATATAAACCACTGTGGCAAGAAAGATGATGCTAATGGTGTATATTTGCATATGACACTTGCTGTAAAATAAATGTAGATGAATAAAACAAGAATTTCTTATCTTACCTTTGATTGTTTGCTTTATCTCAGCTCTACGGGGAACTGATCAGTTATAGTATTCTTTACCTATTTGCATTCCTATTTAGAATTGCTTCGCCTGGCAAACATTTCAGTAAGTTTTATGCATGAGAAAACCAAGTGTGTTTGAAATTGATAAAGGTTGTGAAGAGCTATATATTAGCTAAACAGAATTTCTGTAAATATATTTTAATGCAAATCTTATCAACCAAATGTCAGAATTACTCCAGTGATAGTTATGCTACTGCAACATGCTCACTCTAGAAAGGAGCAGGCTGTTCACCAGAGATTCACGCTGTAAGCAGAGGTAAAAAAAAAAAAAAAAATTATTTGTTCTGCATCTTTCCTGATAAACAAAGCAACTTTCTTGTTTATTCTCTGTTTAAATAAAGGTGAGTGGTAAACATTTGATAAAAGTACTGTTAAAATAATAAGAAATGCCAACTATATAGTCATTTCTCAAGAAAATAAACAAATTTTTCCTTGAAAATGTTCATAAATACCTCTTCTTCTCTGTCTCTTTTGGTTGTGACCTTTTATCTTTTGTGATATATATCTAAAATTCAATATCCCAAAGACGCTGAGTGTGTGTTGGAAACAGAGGTAGGGGTGTTTCTTCTACTGGTCTTGTTTCTCTGGAGAACCCTGGCAAATACAAGATGTTTGCTTTTTGTTTCTGGTAATAGTTTCTAGCTGTATTACGGTGTTGTCAGAGAGTGTTGTTTATATTTTGATTTTAAGGAAAGTACTGATGTTTTCTTTGTGACCAAATCATATGATCATTTTGTAATTGTGTCATAAGCACTGGGGGAGAAGGCATATCCTTATCATCAGGGTGTAGCACTCAAAATATAAGAATATAATCTATCTAATTGATTATGTTAATTAACTTTTCTATTTCCTAATGAATTTATTTTTGCCCAATCAATCTGCCTTGTAATGTAGTAGTTTATTAAATCATCCTGTTATTATGGTGTTTCTATCTTCACATCTCTCATTCTCTGTAACTTTTGCTTCATAATGGGTTTTACTGTGTTATTTGGTACAAAAATATAAACATCTTCAACTTGAATTGTACCTTTTAGTATTACAACTGTTTCATTTTTAGCATCTCTGGGCATCTTTGGAGATTGAAGAGTGAATCAGGGTTACCATACCTTCTCTCTGTTTCTGTCTATGTTTCCATCTCTATCTCTATCTAGATGCCTATGTCTTGTTCATCTCTTTAATTTTAAACTCTCATCTGAATCATTCTGATTCAGATGTGTCTCTTTTTACAGTATGTAATTCAAATTTGTTTTGTGTGTCAAATTTATTCTTCTTCCTTTTATTAAGTGCATTAAGCCTATTTATATTTATTTAAATGACTAATATATTTGGTCACTACTCTGACATAATATTTTATAATTACGTTTTTCATTATATTTGCTATATTTCTTTCTCTACAAGATATGATCATAATTTTTACTAGAAATAACTTTTCCTAATGAATTATTTCAACATTTGTGACATAGGAGATATAAGTCTAATACAGTCTTACTAATTGTTAATGTAAAATTTCTTTATTTATTTTGAGGAACTGGCATAATCACTAATTGATGCAAAAATGGACTTGTACACACATTTAAGATAATTTAAATTATGTGTATATAGATATTGTTTGACAATATTATTTATCTATCTGTATAACCCTGTATATAGACATTGTGAACAAAGCATTATGTTATGTTCTATATAAAGAAATTTATGGTAAATACTTATATTTACCATTATATATATATTATATGGTACATTATATGGTATATTATATGGTATATATATGGTATTTTATATGGTAAATATATATATTTTATATATATTCCAGTATTAGGAATGCAGCTATTTTCTACTTTTATTTTTTCCTTTCTAGTTACAGACCCTAAAATGTTCATGCTATATATTTATTCCCAGGCACTAGAAATTTTTAAACACAAGTAACCATATAATGCAAATAATTGTTTTAAATTAAAGGTGAAGATGCTAATCAAGATTTTTTTTAATAGTTTCTTTAGGGATGAAGGCCAGCCAGATGATAGAAAAGGACTCTCCAGTGCTCATTCCCTGGCAGAAACATCAATTCAAACACCTATCCACACACAAAAATACCTTCACAAGAGCTAAGGAAATCAGGTGAAAAATTACAGCACCAGGCTCTAGCACAAACATAAGAAGAGATGAGTGACAAGGGTAGGAATGACAATCTTACATTACCTGCATCACTCCTTCGTCAACTCAGGGAGCATAGCATGGAGAGAGAGATAACCTCTGGATGGGAGAAGGAGAGGGGATTGAGCTCTGGACTTTGTCTCAGATCCCAAAAGTATGCCCAACCTAGTAAAACCCAGAACCAAGCAGGCCTCCATTGCCCCAGACTCTATACTGCTACTTGCAAACTGAAGGTCCATGCTTGCACCCATGCAAGGCTACATCCCATAGCTCTTTGTTTCAGGCCTGTGCAACAGACTTGATCTCCGAGCTACCCTACCTTTCAGCCCATCCTCAGTGATCACAGGCTCCAGAATACCCCTAGCACTGGGTTAGCCCCCACAGCCACATACTTCAGACATGCCTGAACACCTAGTCAACCACTGCAGCACTAGTTAGCATCTGTGGACACAACCAGGCTGATCATTGTTGATACAGCCTTCAGGCTCACCTAGCACCACGCCATTCCCTGCATCCCAGGTTCCATTCAAGTCTTGGTGACTCCAGGGTTCAACCTTGCTCCAGCAGACTCAGGGTATAGGCGTATACAAGTAGGTGCCAGTGCCAAGCTGGACTCCATGGCTTAAGGATACAATAGCACCCCTGTAGATCTCCAGGCTCCAAGATAGTACCTATGGACTCAAGGTCCATGTCCATCCCAGAGGACCCAGGTGCAAAGCCCATCCCAATGCCTGACCAGTCATTGTAGAATCATACTCAAAGCCCACCCCACTGCCAGCTCCAAGGCCCATCCTACTGTCAGCTTAGTCCCTGTGGACACAGTTTTCTGGTCAATCAGACCAGAATCATATTGTCAGTGAAGAGAGATAATTTGACTTCCATCTACTACCTGGAGTAGATATGAACTCCAGGTCTGCCTTTATGTACCCAGGCTCTACCTCCATCCCTGCAGATCCAATCAACAGGTCTGCCCCGGTGGATCTAGGCTTCAAGCCCAACTTCATGGACCCAGGCTCCAGGCTTACGCACCTGTTTATCAATGCATGAGGCAAACCTTCCAATGACTCCAGCAGCATGTGCACCCTCAGACCACATCAGATAACCTGCCTAGGATCTCTGTATGGGTGAAAGGTTTTCCCAGACAAAGTCAGTCTACAAAGACTGTAATAAGCGCTTACTTAAAATGTGTGGACAACAACATAAGGCAACAACAAATATAAAGAGAAAGACATAACACCACCAAAAAAACCCAAAATAATCTACAAGTAACTGGCCTCAAAACATGTAGATATGAAAACTGCTTGGCAAAGAATTCAATGTTATTGTTTTAATGAATCTCAATAAAATTCAAGAAAATATTGAGAAATAATTCAATGAAATCAGAGAAACAATGGATGACCAAAATTATAAATTTAACAAAGAGATTGAAACAGTTAAAAAAATTGAACAAGAATTCTGGAGATGAATTACACAATGAGTGAAATGAAAACTGCTATAGACAGTGTCAATAACATAATTAATAAGGCAGAAGAATAAAAATCTGTGAACTCAAAGACAGTTTATTTGTAAACATACTGTCAGAGAAGAAAAGATAAAAAGTAATTTAAAAAATGAAGAATGCTTGCAGGATATATTGAACAGCAATAAAAGAGCAAATATTTGAGTTATAAGATTATTTGTGAAGAAGAGAAAAACTAAATGCAGGAAGCTTATTTAAATAATTAATAACAGAAACCTTTTGAAAATTGGATAAAGTGCCAGGCACAGTGGCTCACGCCTGTCTTCCAAGCACTTTGGGAGGCCAAGGAGGGTAGATCACAAGGTCAAGAGATTGAGACCATCCTGGCCAACATGGTGAAACCCCGTCTCTACTAAAAATACAAAAATTAGCTGGGGGTGGTGGCACTTGCCTGTAGTCTCAGCTACTCTGGAGACTGAGGCAGAAGAATCACTTGAACCCGGGAGGCAGAGGTTGCAATGAGCCAAGATTGCGCCACTGCACTCCAGCCTGGCAACAGAGTGAGATTCCATCTCAAAAACAAAAAGAAAAGAAAAGAAAAGAAAATTGGATAAAGATATAAATATCCAGGTATAGGAAGGACAAAAATCTTCAACCAGATTCAATCCAAATGAAATTACAGCAAAACATATGATTACCAAACTGTCAAAAATCAAAGACGAAAGGAGTATTCTGAAAGTAGCAAGGGAAAAAAAAGCAAATGACTTATACAGGACTTCTAATCAGGCTAACGGCACATTTCTCAGCAGACACCTTACAGAATGGGGAGTAGGATGGCATGCTTAAAATGTTGAAAGAAAGAAAGAAACAAACAAACAAAAAACAATTTCCAAGCAAGAATAGTATACTCAAAAAAGCTGTGCACCAAAAATGAAGGAAAGATAAATATTCTCTTAGTCAAATAAAAACTGAGACATCCATCATCACCAAACTGGTCTTAAAATAAATGCCAAAAGTAGTTATTCAGGGTGAGAGAAAAGGATGGTAATTAGTATGAGAGTATAAAACTTCCTGGTGAAAGTGAGCATGTGGTAAAATTCAGAATACCCCAATACTGTAATGGTGGAGTATAAGTCAGTTATATTTTAAATATGAAGATTATAAGACAAATCTGTTAAAAATAACAATACCAATAATAATTTGTTAAGAAATACACAATATAAAAAGTAAATTATGACATCAGAAATTTAGCTTTAGAGGGAGTTGAAAGAAAAGTACAGTTTATCCTTACAGAGAACCAACATTTGGTTTTGGTGATCTTTACAACTGATCCCACAGAAATACAAAAGATCTTCAGAGACTATTGTAAACTCTATGAACACAAAGTAAAAAGTCTAGAAGAAATGAATAAATGCCTGGAAACACAAAACGCCCCAAAATTGAACCAGGAAATAATTGAAACCCAGAACAGAACAACAGCAAGTTCCAAAATTGAATCAGTAGTAAAAAAGCCAATCAACCAAAAAAGGCCCTAGACCAGGTAGATTCACAGCTGAGTTCTACTTCTACCAGAGATATGAAGAAAAGCTCATACCAATGCTACTGAAACTATTCCAAAAATTTGAGGAGGAGGGATTCATTTCTGGCTTATTCTACATAGCCAACATCATCCTGATAACAAAACCTGTTGGAGACACAATGAAAAAAGAAAACCACAGGCCAGTGATGAACATAGACACAAAAATCCTCAATAAAATATTAGCAAATAAAATCCAGTAGCACACCAAAAATTAATTCACCATAATGAAGTAGGCTTTATTCTGGGGATGCAATGCTGGTGCAAAATGCATGTATCAATAAATGTGTTTCACCACATAAATAAAATTAAAGACAAAAATCATATGATCATCTCACCAAATACAAAAAAAAAGCTTTCAGTAAAATCCAGCATACCTTCATGATAAAACCCTAAACAAACTAGATTTCAAAGGTACATCTGTCAAAATAATAAGAGCCATCTATGGCAAACCCATGGCCAACATCGTATTGAATGAACAAAACTGAAACTATTCCCCTTGAGAATTAGAACAAGAAAAAGATGCCCAATCTCATCAATCCTATTCATTACTTTACTGGAAGTCCTAGCCAGAGCAACCAGGTAGGAGGAACAAATAAAAGACATACAAATAGGAAAGGAAGAAGTCAAATTATCTCTCTTCCCTGACAATATGATTCTGGAAAAGCCTAAAGACCACCAAAAAGCTATTTGAACTGATAAACAACTTCAGCAAATTTTCAAGATACAAAAATCAATGTACAAAAATCAGTAGCATATCCATGTATCAATAACGTTTAAGCTGACTGCCAAATCAAGAATACAATTCCATTTACAGAAGCCACAATAAGAATGAAATACCTAGGAATACATCTAACCAAGAAAGTGACAGATCTGTCCTTGGAAAACTACAAAACACTTTTGAAAGAAACCATAGATGACTCAAACAAATGGAAAAACATCCCATGCTCATAAATAGGAAGAATCAATATTGTTCAAATGGCAATACTATCCAAAGCAATTCACAGTTTCAGTGGTATTCCTATCAAACAACTAACATATTTTTTCACAGAATTAGAAAAAAATATTCTAAAATTCATATGGAACCAAAAAAGAGCTTGAACAGACAAAGTGATACTAAGAAAAATGAAGAAAGCTGGAGGTATCACAGTAACCAGACTTCAGACTATACTACAAGGCTACAGTATCCAAAACAATATTGTACTGGCACAAAAATAGACACACAGACCAGTAGAACAGAATACAGAACCCACAAATAAAGCTGCACACCTACAATCTGCTTCTCAACAAGTCAACAAAAATAAGGAAACAAAAATGAGGAAAAGGACTCTCTATTCAAAAATGGGGCTGGGGTAACTGGCTACCCATATGCCAAAGAATGAAAGTGGACTCCTAACTATCACCATATACAAAAATTAACTACACATGAATTAAAGACTTAAATGTAAGAGCTCAAACTATAAAAATCCTAGAAAAAAAGTAGGAAATACCCTTACTGATATCGGCCTTGACAAAGAATTTATGGCTAAGTCTTCAAAAGCAACTGCAACAAAAACAAAAATTTCCAAGTGAGACCTAATTAAACTAAAGAGCTTCTGCAAAGAAAAAGAAACTGTCAACAGAGTAAACAGACAACCTACAGAATGGGAGAAAATATTTATAAAATCTATGCATCCAACTAAGGCCTAGTATCCAGACTGTATAAGGAACTTAAATCAATGAGCAAAAAAACCAAATAACCCCATTAAAAAGCAGGCAAAGGGCATGAACAGACACTTCTCAAAAGAAGACATACAAGTGGCTGACATAGGAAAAATGTTCAGAATCACTAATCATCACAGAAATGAAAATAAAAACCACAATGAGATACCATCTCACACAGTCAGAATGGCTTTAAAAAAAATTTAAAAAATTAACAGATGTTAGTGGGGCTTCAGAGAAAAGGGGACACTTATACACTATTGGTGGGATTGTAAATTAGTTCAGCCACCATGGAGAGCAATTTGGAAAGTTTTCATAGTACTAAGCCTTGAACTACCATTCAACTCAGCAATTTCGTTACTGGATATATAACCAAAGGAAAATAACTCTTTCTACCAAAAAAAACCCCACATAAACTCATATGTTCATTACAGTGCTATTCACAATAGCAAAAACATGGAACCAACCCAAGTGCCCACCAACAGTGGACTGGTTAAAGAAAATGTGGTACATATATACTATGGAATTCTATGCAGCCATAAAAAGAATGAAATCATGTCCTTTGCAGCAATGAGTATGCAGCTGGAGATGATTTTCTTAAGTGAACTAACACAGAAAAAGAAGGCAAAATATTGCATGTTCTCACTTATAAGTGGGAGCTAAATATTGGGTGCACATGGACATAAAGATGGGAATACTAGACACTGGAAAATACAAAAGAGGGAACAGAAATAAAAAAGCAAAGTTTGAAAACTACCTATTGCTTACTTTGCTCATTTATTGGGCTCATTTCAGGTTTAGTCATACTTCAAGACCCAATATCATTCAATATGTCTTTGTAACAAACCTGCACATGTACCTCTGAAATTTAAAATAAAAGTTGGAAAAAAGTTCTTTAAAAATTTTACAAAGTATAGAGATTTTTATGCAATCAGAGTTAATTATTATCAGCTTAAAATAGCTTGTTATAACTATAGGATGTTTTTTGCAATCCTCTTGGTAAGCACAATGCAGAAACTTATAGTATATACAAAAAAGACAAAACATAAAGAAACAAAGCATATCATTAAAGAAAATCACCTAATTACAAAGACATCAAGAAGAAAGGAACAATCTACAAAACAACCAGAAAATAACTAACAAATGGAAGTACTAAGTTTCTATTTATCCACCATTACCCTGAATGATAGATTAAATTCTCCAGTCAAAAGACATAGAGTGGCTGATGATTAAATAAAAAGGCTAAACTACATGCTGCCTACAAAAGACTTAGTTCACCTGTAAGGATACACATACAATGAAAGTAAAGGAATGAAAAAAGTATTCCACACAAATGGAAATCAAAAGAGAGCAGGAGTGGCCACATTTATATCAGATAAAACAGACTTTAAGTGAAAAACTGTGAAATGAGACAAAGGAAGCTATGACATAATAATAAAGAGGTCAATTTATCTAGAGAAGATAACAATTACATATGTGCACCCAACATCAGAGCACCTAAATATATAAGATAAATATCAATAGATCTAAAGGGAGGGATACATTGTAATACAACAATAAGGAACTATAATAAGGAACAAATCATTTGGACTGAAAATCAATAAGAAAACATGAAACTTAAACTACACTGTAGGCCAAATGAACCTAACAGACATATACAAGACATTCTACCTAACAGCAGCAGAATACACATTCTTTTCAAGCACACATAGAACATTCTCTAGGATAAATCACATATTATGCCACAAAACAAGTCTCAACAAATTTAAGAAGATTGCAATTATATCAAGTATCATTTCCAACCATAATGGTATGAAACCAGAAATCAGTATGTGATATGCTGGACAGAATGAAGGACAGAAACTATATGATCATTTCAATAGAGTCAGAAAAAGCAACTGACAAAATGCAACATTCCTTTATTTTAAGATTCTGAATAATTAGGTATGTAAGAATACACCTCAACACAGTGTAGATCATATATGACAAACCCACAGCTCATAACAAACTGAAAGGTGAAAAGTTGCAAGCCTTTTCTCTAAGATCAGGAACAAGACAAAGTATTCTTACTACAAAAGAAATGAAAAGTATGTAATTTCATGCATTTGTTAATTAGCTCAATTTAGTGATTCCACAATGTATACACATTTTGAAACATCATGTACATAATAGATAGAATTTTTGTCAAATAAATAAATAAAATGTTAAAAATAATTTCTGTAATTTACGTCAGCTACATTCTGGGCCACTGATTTTTAAATTTTTACACATCGATAAATATTACCAGAGTCTATAATTAATGTCTGAATATAGCAGTTGAGGATTTGTGCCCCAGTATATTATTTTAAACAACTTTAACCGGAGCTAAAAGGAAATTTTATGAATTCAATCATATTTATTGGTTAATTTATTTCATATTTTGAACTTTGTCAATTACAACTGCTATAAATTAATAATCTTCTTTATTAAACAAAAGTCTCTCCACCTCATTTTTTAATTTTTATTTTATAATAAATAATGAAATAATATAATGGTTTTACATGATTTTTCAAAAAATTAAAAAGCATTACCATTAAGCCAGATCTTTAATATTAGGCTTAACTGGTTATTAAAATGAAATTAGCAACTTTGCTTTAACTTCTTTAATAATGATTTTTATCAGTAGATTTATTAGATAATTTAAAAATATTATAACTGTGAATTGCATAAGGACTGCATTTCATGTATTAAATCCTGAATTTATACAGTCCATTTTGATGATACAAGTAAGAAATCCTAAAGTAATATTTTCCCACCCAAGTTGATATTAGAGAAAAAAATCATGGTCATAATTTATAGTAAAGTGTTTATATCTTTCAATGTAACATTGCTTATGTTATTTCATCAAGGTATTGCTAAATAAGAATATAGATAGTTCCATATTAAATGATCATTTAACTATTTAATTTCCATCCTTACACCCAAATAAGGCTCACTTTCAAAAATTAATTTCTAGAATTTTATTTATAAAACTTTATCAAAGATTATAAGATTATATTTTAAAAATTATTTAAAATGCTCTACTGATTTAGATGTTTTAACTTGCCTTTGCTTTACCTAATTATAGATTCCCTGTTAAATTATGAGAGAAGCTTATTTTTAGATGTGTCATAAAATTCAGAGTTAGAGAGTGAAGAAATAAACATACATCTAAAGCCACTCTGAAAAAATACTCAAAATAAAATAAGCAGAGAATCAACAATGAAAGTAAAAGAAACATACTTGTATATGAACTTGGCAATAAATTATATTTTCCATGTTTCTGTTTCAATCAACAAAGTAGTAAGGCAAAAAGAAAAATAACATGAATTGACTAATTAGCAAAAAACAGTGTAAGTTTGGAAACAAGATTATTAGGGATATTTATGGTTGCATCAAAGATATATGAACAAATTGACTCTTTGTTTTAAGAAATACCTTGGAAACCAATGAACTCAACTCTACTATCACTTATGAGGCAACTAAAGTCCAAAAGGACTAAGTTTTTTTGTCAAAAATCAAGGTTGGAACTGAAAATTGGATATTCAATGAAGTAGCCTTTTAGTTAATGTGAAACACATTCAAACATTTATTCATATATGTACTTCATCAGTATCTATTTATCAAGCCCTTTGTGTTTATAAAACACTTTACCATGTGCTGGAAATGTAGAAGTGAGAAAATTGAAATGTTCCTATAAATATGTAACTTACATTTTATAAAATTATACATTTTTTCTCTTAAAATGATGACTATTATAGTATAAACAAATTAGTTAATTGGAAAATAATGATTTTCATACTAAAATTCCTATCAATAATACTCCTGTCACATACTTAACTCCTCAGTGATTTTCACAGTATTTGAAATAATTTAAGTACTGAAGGGCTAGGCATAGTGGCTCACACCTGTCATTCCAGAACTTCAGGGGACTGAGGTGGGTAGATCACCTGAGGTCAGGAGTTTGAGAACAGCCTGACCAACATGATGAAACCCCGTCTCTGCTAAAAATACACAATTAGCTGGGGGTGGTAACACATGCTTGTGGTCCCAACTGCTTGGGAGGTTGAGTCAGGAGAATCACTTGAACCAAAAAGGCAGAGGTTGCAGTAAGCTGGGATCACAACATTGCATTCCAGCCTAAGCAAGAAGAGCGAAACTCCCTGTATTAAAAAAAAAAAAAAAAAAAAAGTATGTACTGAAGTTGATAATGGTTTTTGACAGGTATAAATATCATCAAGATAAAACAAGTATGTTAAGTCATAATCAAGTCTGATGAATGATATATCTTATTTACATTGTTTAGGCACTAATTATGATGACCCAACTGAAGACTCAGATGCACTTAATTTACCAAAATTTTGAGTGTGTGAAAAATGATAAATATCTATAATGATGTTCTATTTCTGCCCAAATGAATTTGAATTTGGAAGCAATGAATCCCACTTCTTCCCTGACAGTATGTCATAGCATTGGGCAAAATATTTCAAAGATTAATAGCTTGTCAGGGAAAGCTCGAACTGATAAGAGTGATATGTAAAATTATATATCCCTATGTTTAAAATTATTTCAGGCCAAAACGTGAAGAACTGCAGAGGGTGCATATAATATATTAAAGGAATATGAAAAATGTCAATATTTCATTTAAAGCTTACATGAGGAATGACGGCGGAAAGCTAAAATAGAACTCTACACTCAAGTAGTATTTTAAAGATTGCAAGCCAAGTGTAGCAGTTTGGAATCGCCAGCTGACAAACTGGCATTAAGAATCAAAGGAAACCTTACAGAAAGTATGACAACCTTGCAGATAGATTAAATTAAAATCTATCAACATGTAAAAATGAAGGAAAGAGAAAGTTTTTTTTTTTTTTGCACTCTAATGAGGAGAGTTTCTTGGTGAAATTTGGAAATTAAAACTGTTGATATAAGCAGAAAAGTCTTAGAAACTACTGTAGGACATTGACCCATATTGCCTGTAATTTAAGAGATTTTCCCAAGCTCTAGAATATTTTAAAGAATGTGAAATACAGCAATAATACTAACTTTATTCACTTTATCTTTACAGCAGCAGAAACAAGCTTTCTAAATATTGTTTCTGGCTCATTCTTGTAATACTTTTTTGGAAGTAAGAAATCAACATATATGGAAGCAGAGAAAATACAAACATAAGTGCTGAACTAAGAAATGAGTTCAGGGTTTCTTTATTATCTGTAAGTATATGAGATAACTTGATATCAAAGAGAACAATCTTTGTACTTTCTTAACCTTCAAAATGTCATCATGAATGTCTTGTTTTTTTTCCCTTTTTTCAACACCATAATTAGTGCAGGCTCAAAGGTGATCTAGAGCCAGCCGCAATTCAAAATACAATGATGATAAATTCTTAAAATGGTACACACAGCTACAATTCAAAATACAATGATGATAAAATCACAAAATGGTACAAAGCCAATTTTGTACTTTCCAGGAAATTGCTGACAAAACATGATTCTTTCACAAATAGAAAAAAGACTCAAGAATTATTTGAATTCATATTTAAAACAATACTTACATGTTGACCTATCTTTTGCATGAATAACAAAACCACCTATTGGGACCAGCAGCTAGAGATTATTTTCAAAACAAAATCTGAAAATGGAAGAAGCAAATTAGTATGCATGTTGAAAGGATCTATCATAAAAAAAAACAAAATAAATGAAGGAAAAAATTATTGATTTCTGGCTCTAGCTATCAAGGCGTAACTTATGATACAGTAAGCAAACCACAAAAAATAAGTCTTAAAAACTAGATACAACTGGTAAAATCATTATTACATTTCATGTGTCTACTTAAGGATGTAGAAGGTTGCAAAGAATATCACTCCTACTCATATAAGAACAACAACAAAGGACCAGGCAAACAGCAAGTCCATAACTTTGCTTGAACCTATCAAAAGTTTGAGATGGCAAGACAACCATTTAGTAGTTGATCTATGGAGAAGCTGGCCCCTGATGAGAGACAAGATGTGAACATTTGCTTACCTGTTCTACATGGAATCAAAAGCACATAAGGATTCAGACAGAGAACTTGGTGGAAACCTCAAGTAGGTCTTTCATGTCACAATTCCCTTAGGAATGTCTATGGAGGTAGCAGAACACTCCAGATAGTTGCTACTCTGATTGTGGGGATAAGACTGTTTAAGGCTCAGGTTTAATCTGTATGATAAACTTCAGTCCTAAGCAGGTCCAGGGTCTCTGGGTCTCAGAAAATTAACTGTTTCCAGCCTTGTTCCTTCACCACTACATATCTAGTTATGGGATCAGTACTTACCCTTTCATTATTAATAGATAACTTTTTTGGTTCTTTTTTTCCCTAGTTGCAATGACTTTCCTCCAGTGTCCTCAGCAGTTCTCACCAGTGTTCTCAGAGTTTATGTGAGAAAGTGTGGAACTCTAGAATATCGAAAAATTAGGGGAAGTTTACAAAATCTTGCAGACTTTTTAACAGTGTAATTCACTGGGTACTGACAAAGAGTATGAGCCAGACTTCACAGAAAACACCTGTATTAGCCTGTTCTCACACTGCTATAAATAACTGCCTGAGACTGGGTAATTTATAAAGAAAAGAGTTTTAATTGACTCACAGTTCCGCATAGCTGGAGAGGCCCCAGGAAACTTACAATTATGCCAGATGTGGAAACAAACATGTCCTTCTTTACATGGCGGCAGGAGACAGAAGTGCCAAGCAAAGAGGGAAAGACCATTGAAAAACCATCAGGTATTGTGAGAACTCACTCACTATAACAAAAACAGCACTGGGATAACTGCCCCCATGATTCATTTATCTCCCGCCAGGTCCCTCTTACAACATGTGAGGATTATTGAAACCACAATTCAAGATGAGATTTGAGTGGGGACACAGCCAAACTATATAATTCCATCCCTGACCTATCCCAAATTTCATGTCCTCACATTTTAAAACACAATCATGCCCTTCCAACAGTCCCCCAAAGTCTTAGTTCCTTCCAGCATTAATCCAAAGTTCCAAGTCCAAAGTCACATCTGAGACAAGGCAAGTCCCTTCTGGCTATGAGTCTGTAAAATTGAAAGTAAGTTGTTACTACCTAGATACAATGGGAGTACAGGTATTGGGTAAATACACCCATTCCAAATGGGAGAAATTGGCCAAAACAAAGGGGCTACAGGCCCCATGCAAGTCCAAAATCCAACAGGGAAGTCATTAAGCCCTAAAGTTTTACTTTGACTCCATGTCTAATGTCCTAATTTTGCTGATGCAAGAGGTGGGCTCTCATAGCTTTGGGCAGTTCCATCCTTATGACTTTGCAGGGTACAGCCCCTGTCGCAGCTACTTTCAATGGCTGGTACTGCAGCTTTTCCAGATGCACAGTGCAAGCTATTGGTGGATCTACCACTCTGGAGTCTGGAGAATGGTGAGCCTCTTCTCACAGCTCCACTAGGCAGTGCCCCAGTGGGGACTCTTTGTGTGGGGTTCAACCTCACATTTCCCCCTTTACTGCCCTAGCAGAGGTTCTCCATGAGGGCTCCACTCTGGCAGCAAACTCCTGCCTGGACATCCAGGCATTTCCATACATCATCTGAAATCTAGGTGGAGGTTCACAAATCTCAATTTTTGACTTCTGTGCACCTGCAGGCTCAACACCATGTGGAAGCTGCCAATGCTTGGGACTTGCACCCTCTGAAGCAACAGTCTAAGCTGTACCTTGGCCCCTTTTAGCCAGGGCACCAAGTCCCACAACTGCACACAGCAGTGGGGCCCTGGGCCTGGCCTACAAAACCATTTTTCTTTCTTAAGCCTCCACATCTGTGACAGGAGGGGCTGCCATGAAGTTCTCTGACATGCCCTGGAGACATTTTCCCCCTTATCTTGGTGATTATTGTTTGCTTCATCATTACGTATGAAAATTTCTGCAGTGAGCTTGAATTTTTCACTAAAGTTTATTTATTTATTTATTTTTCCTATTGCATCATCAGGCTGCAAATTTTCCTAACTTTTGTGCTCTGCTTCCTCTTGAACACTTTGCTGCTTAGACATTTCTTCTGCCAGATACCCTAAATCATCTCTCTCAAGTTCAAAGTTCCACAGATCTCTAGGGCAGGGGCAAAATGCTGCCAGTCTCTTTGCTAAAGCATTAGAAGAATCACCTTTACTCCAGTTCCCAACAAGTTCCTAATCTTCATCTGAGACCACCTTGGCCTGGACTTCATTGCCTATGTCTCTATTAGCATTCTGGTCAAAGCAATTCAACAAGTCTCTAGGAAGTTCCAACTTTCCCATATCTTCCTGTCTCCTGAGCCTTCCAAGTCACTAGGAAGTTCTAAACTTTCCCATATTTTCCTGTCTTCTTCTGAGCCCTCCAAACTGTTCCAACCTCTGCCTGTTACCCACTTTTTGCTTCCAGATTTTTAGGTATCTTTACAGATACCTGAGTGGTACCCCGCTCCTTGTACCAATTTATGGTATTAATTGATTCTCATGCTGCTATAAAGAACTGCCCGAGACTGGGTAATTTATAAAGAAAAGAGGTTTAATTGACTCACAGTTCCACATGGCTCAGGTGGCCTCTGGACACGTACAATCATGACAGAAGGAGAAGCAAATATGTCCTTCTTCACATGCCAAGCAAAGGGGAAAAAGCCACTTATAAAACCATCAGATCTCATAAGAACTCACTATCATGAGAAGAGCATGGGGGTAATCACTCCCATATTCAATTACGTTTCACTGGCTCCCTCCCATGACACATGAGGGTTATAGAAACTACAATTCAAGATGAGATTTAGGGGGGAACACAGCCAAATCCTATCAACACCCATCACAGTACATGTCTTTGGTGGTGAGCAACAGCAGCTATGGGAGGGCCACCGACTTTGCAAGGATCCTTCTGTTTAGCTCTCCTAGGAAACAAAAGCATCTATGGGGGCAAAGAACAACCAGAACTGTATCCTGCAGGTACAAGGGTAAATTATTGCTTCTAGAGAAACAGAACAGAAAAATATTATCTACTAAACAAAAAGGAGTAGGAATAAATGCTGGACCTGGTACTACAGATGAGGGAAGAACAAGAATATTGGGACAGCCAATTCTCTGCAATGTAAGGACATCATGCCTAAGATTAAGGCTTAATAAAACAGAATGTTATTAACCATCAGTGTAGCCACCAACAATTAAAAGATAACAATGTGAACCTCTGGAGTGTTCCCTGGTCTCCAAGGGCAATTCTAACAGAATGTAACACAACAGGAAAACCTAAAGCCTGAGGGTAAAGAAGATGCAGAGAAAAACCCTATGTAAAACCAGCCCCACCTTAATCACAAGCTAGGACTTGAGGTATTTGAGGCTATAATATAGTGAGATTAATTATAGCCACCAGACACACTACACACATTAAACACACACACACACAGGCACACACCACACACCACACATAAACTCAACTCAGAAATACCTCTTTGTAAATTAATTGAAACTACCACACCAAAGACCTAGCAGAAGGATAGATGGACACACCTACGAGCATAAAATATATTTATTTGTCTGCTGTCCTAAAAATATGTTTAGCTTTCATACAACTATTACAAACCATAATAAAAGACCAATAAAAACACACAGCCATAGACAACAATAAACAGAACTTGATTTAGAGAAGAATCTTTGGTTTTAGCTTCAACATGTAAACGCTAGGAATTCGTCTCTCCTATCTTTACAAGGAAAAAAAAATCAAAGCTGGACAAACTGAAAACCATAGACTCTTCTCAGACCCATGAGAGAACTGAGGTCACAGTGAAAACCATCACTCCAAAATCTGCTAGACAATAAGACTATCTTGAAAATGATCAAAGTAAAGAAGTTACATTACCTGATTTTAGGAAATAATATAAAGTTAGACAAATGGATTAATGTAACAGAATAGAGCATCTACAAACCAATCATACATGTATACAATCAACATAATTTCAACAATATTCAAAAAAAAGATTTTGAATCTGAAACAACTGGATAAATATGGAAAAATATAAATTTGGGAAAGAAAATCTAGAATATCTTAGTATGTTGAGATAGGTAAAATTTCTTAGACAAAACCCAAAAAGCACTACCATAAAAGAAAAGTATAAAGAAGTGTAATTTATCAAATTAGACATTGCTGCTTTTCAAAAGACCCCATTATGGAAGTAAATACAGGTAAATCAAAAACTATACTGAAAAATTGTTTGAAATACATATATGTAACAAATGAGTTGTATCTAAAAATATGGCTATATTATCTATCTTTATGTATATATAAACATGTATCTCTATGTATCTATATGTATGTGTATATATGTATATATGGATTATATATATATTCCTACTAATCAACAATGAGAAAACGAACAATTCAAAATGTGGGCAGGCCAGGCACGGTGGCTCACGCCTGTAATCCCAATACTTAGGAAGGCCGAAGCAGGCAGATCACCTGAGGACGGGAGTTCAAGACCAGCCTGACCAACATGGAGAAACCTCGTCTCTACTAAAAAAATACAAAATTAGCCGGACATGGTGGCGCATGCCTTTAATCTTAACTACTCAGGAGGCTGAGGCAGGAGAATCACTTGAACTGGTGAAACGGAGGTTGCAATGAGCCGAGATAGTGCCATTGCACTCCAGCCTGGGCAACAAGAGTGAAGCTCTGTCTCAAAAAAAACCAAAAAAAGTGGGCAAATGATTTTAAAAGACACTTCATAAAGAAAGATACATAAAAATCTGACATGCTCATGGAAAAGTACTCAACATTGTTAGTAGGCAGGGTAATGTAATTTAAAAGCATATTTAAATATCAATTCAAATTCATTAGAATAACTAAAATTATAAAGATTGATAAGGCCAAATGTTGGTAAGGATGTACAATAACTGGAGTTGATGGGAATGGACAATGGCAAAACTACTCGCAAAATTCTTTGTCAGTTCTTTCTAAAGTTAAATATACCCTAAATATTTTGCATGAGAAATGAACACATACGTCCACAAAAAATTTTTAGCAACTTCACTTATAAAAGTTAAAAACTAGAAAAAACCTGTGTTCATAAGCAGAAAATAAATAAAATATTGTGGGATATTTAAACAATTGTACACTACCAAACGATAAGAAATAATTATTGATACATATAATAACATTAATTTCAAAATGCATTATATAAAGCAAAAGAAGCTGGTCACAAATCAACATCTACTGTATAATCCCATTAATAAGAAATTTGGCAACAGGCAAAACTAATCTAATGGGCTAGAAATCAAAACAGAAGTTGCTTAAAGTTAGTTGGAATTGATTGGAAAGAGACAAAAGGGAACTTCTGGGCATGATGAAAATATTCTTTATTTTGATTAGATACTGTTTTACAATGTGAGAGTCAAATTTATAGAATTGTAAAACAGATCTGTGTATTTCACTATATAAAATTTTTTAAATAAGCTAAACAGAGTAAATCAACATTATCAGAAAAAAATAGAAGATGTACATCATATTATAATAAGAAAATTCCTGATTATATAATTTCCACTATGGGTAAAGAATAAAACCATGAAATAATTTTAAATAAAACAATGTTATCAGTTAGTGAAGTTATCTATTCAAATAATTACACTGAAAGTTTTAATAATTCAAAACTGTAGAAAAATTATATAATTAGGTCCTGGTTATCAAAAATTATATAATTAGCTGACAGTCCTGGTTGTCCCATAAGCTTAGACAACCAGGACCTTCAGCTAAGTACATAATTTTTAATATATGAACCCTCTGGGCAGGTGAAATAGAGAAGTTAATTTAAAAATTGTATCTACATAAATCATCTATTTACACAGCATAAAATATTATAATAAGATGCTATCACAATAAATGTATCCAATTTTAAAATTGAATGGGATCATATTTACATATGAGAAATTCAATTATAATGTATTAGTATCTATCCTATTGATATTATTTCTTAATATACGATTTTGCATGTTCACTTACTCCAAAGATACTCGTATTGTCTTTTTAAAAGATTCTCTTTTTAAAAGACAAGTGTTTTGCCCCTGAATTATAAAAATAATTTCAATGAACAATGACCATAATTGAATCTGCAACTGGTTTATAAAACTAGCAAACTTCGATTCCTTCATGCCATGAAAGGTTTGACCCTTTGGGTGTATTTCAGTATCTTGCAGTTTAACATGTGGGTTCTTATATTCTGACTTTTTTCATGCTGTGAAATGATTTTTCTAGTCAAGCTTTGATCTTCAGGTTTGGCCCATCTTCTCTCTTCTGGGGCCCTACTAGATGCTGTCTACTTCAAATGCTTGCTCCCTGCAACACTTACTGTAAAATCTCAGGTGTCACATCACTCAATAATCTCACTCTGTGGGGTGGGGGGATAAAATAAATTCCTTTCACTGGTAGCTGACAACTTCTCCTTTATCTTTTAGGAGTTTCTGTTCTGTCCAGCTTCCAGCTGATAGAGCGCCTTTGCAGAGAGGACATTTGCAGTTTGAATACAGTGCAACCTTCATCACCAAAGGCACTTCAACATGCATGGCTATGGCTTTTCTGTTCATGCATTACAAATTAAAAAGAAACATTCTTATTATCTCAAATTCTCTAACACTCATTATCGCATTGTATTAATGTTGTATAAAGCAAATTGATGTTTGTTCTCTCAAACTTTGACCATCATAACAAAATAAACACTACTATCATAAGCCTAGCAAAATAACATTTCTACTATATTCCATTTGTATAGCATAATGTCAATCACTGTTTACCAATTTTCCTTGGTACATGTTTAATACTATATTGGTATGATTGAGGTTTATAATTCCATTTTCAAAACTCTTGGTGCTAGATATATTTAAAATTTGAAAAAAATTTATAATTTGGAAATATAATACAATGCAAATTATTATATAACATTTATAAGGGTTTGGGGAAGCACTTATAGTCGGGTGTACTAATATTTCTTTCTGTTTTTGTTTGTTTGTTTGTTTGTTTGTTTGAGACAGAGTCTCGTTCTGTGGCCCAGGCTGGAGTGCAGCGTTGTGATCTTGACTCACTGCAGCCTCTGCCTCCAGGGTTCAGATGATTCTCCTGCCACCATGCCTGGCTAATTTTTTTTTTTTTTTTTGTATTTTTAGTAGAAATAGGGTTTAACCATGTTGGCCCAGCTGGTCTTGATCTCCTGACCTAAATTGATCAGCCCACCTCGGCCTCCCAAAATTCTGGGATTACAGGCATGCCCAGCCAAGTGTATTAATATTTCTATATCAAAGTTATATAAATATTTAGTGAGTTAAATCAAGATTATAAAGGAACATATCAATTTGGGTAGCATCTCAGTTTTTCACCAAACATGGTAAAGCCAGCTCAATGTTCTGAGTTTTTCTGATTTTGGGGTTGTGAATAAATCACTTTGTATCATACAGCATTTTACATCTTGCAAAGCATAACGTGCTGTTTTGTACTTGGGGTTCTTTGTAAATATTTCTCCTTTATCTAAAAACTGCACCCTCAAACACAAAGGAAACACTGCTTTTTGCTTCAAAATATTTCAAAGTTCAATTTCTCATAAAAATCTTCCTGGCATCTAGAAAAATTATTTACTTTAACTTGTAGATGATACAGTCAGTAATTCTTATATATTGCACTCTATTTAGACAAAAATGTTATATCTCCTCCATGAATCCAACCTTTCAAAAGTGATCATTTCTATAATCTAAGCACTTAATACGTATGTTTAGTATACTACTAAATTGTAAATTGTAGTTATTGAATGCCTATTTATGGAAACAAGTAATCAATCAGTACATTTGTAAAATATTTTAAAATATTTTAGAAGCTTTTAACCAACTAAACAGCTTCAGAAAATATAATCAATATTTTCAATATGACATAGTTGGAAAGTAGCAGAATTGGCTACCAAACTAGGCATCTAGAACAAAAATGTGATGATCCTTCTAATTAAATTTGGGAAACTTTCATTTCAATTTGTGATATTTCTACTCAATTGTACAGACTTTTCTAAGAAAGAAAGTGATACTTAGTCAAATATTACTACAAGCTATGTGTAATCATTCACCTCATAATGACATTTTGATCAATGACGGACGGCATATAAAATGGTTGTCACATGAGATTTTCATAAAGCTGCACTGTACAGGTGTACCATTTTTATGTTTTATATCATGTTTTTGCTGTGCCTTTTCTATGCTTAGATTCACAAATATCATTGTCTTTCAGTTGCCGACAGTATTCAGTACAGTAACATGCTGTGCAGCTTTGTAGCCTAGGAGCATGAAATTATACCGTATAGCCTAGACCTGTAGTCGATTACACCACCTAGATTTGTGTAAGCCTACACTCTATGATGCTAGCACAATAATAAAATTGCCTAACAACACATTTGTTCAGAACATATTCCTGTTGTTAAGCGATGAATAACTGTAATTGAAATGTTAATATTTTGGTTTGAAATATAGTTAAGTTATAATCACTGAAAAGCTGAGAAATAACTACTGTCAATACTATTATATTTCTTATTTCTTATAAACTAGTGATATTTTATTTTGAATAAAAGTAATAAAATGTATTTCAATGGAAAATTAGTATATATGTAGAATTTTTCTTCAAAGTCTTAAGTATAAATAACATTCACATGCTTATAATTCTTTTATTTTGTAATAATGGCATTGAATGATTGATCAACAGTCAAATGAAATATAGAATATTATATCAAAATTATTTAAAGTTATTTTTCTCATTAAATAATCTAAGTTGCTTCAATAATATTTTTAAGCATAAATCTCACCTTCTGAAAATTGCTAAACCTAAAAGTGTGAGTAGTTACATGTCAAAAAATGAACAATTTTAAGATTTGGACATATTTTTAAAAGATAGAAATGTAACTTTGATCAATTATAAACATGTTATTTTTAAATGTTATTCAAAGACTCAATTTAATGTTATTTTAAACAATGCTCTTTAATTTGCTTAATGAGGACTATAATGCAAATTAAGAAAAGTTGTTTTTGTAACTTTACTCAAAAAATATTAATTTGTCAAGTCATATATATATATAACACATATATATATAACACATATATAAAACCTCCACTTCAAAGTTATATAAAGGTAAACATACATAGAAACACACACACTTCAAAAGATCAAAGTAACCAAATTCAGTTCAAATCAAATTGAGGCAATGTCATGTTATTTTTTTCACTATAAATAACTTTATCAGAATTATACTATACAGAAAACTAAAACATATATGTTTTGTCTTGGATTATTTTAATATTTTAAAATTTGTTACTCTTTCAGTGAAAATAAGCTCATGTTTGTTGTATGGTTTATGTGTGTATTTAATGGTATACATATTCTTTCAAAAAAAGTTCAGCCAAATTAAATGTAAAAGATTTTAATGAATGATTCGCGAGTCAGGCAGCTCTCAGAATCACAGCAGATTCACAGAAGCTCCAGGGGTGTCTCGTGGTCAGAACAAATTTATAGACAAAAAGGTAAAGTAATGTACAGCAATCAAAAGTGAGATACAGAAACAGATTGGTTACAGCTCGTCATTTGCCTTACTTGAACATAGTTTGAACACTCAGCAGTCTATGAGTGGCTGAAGTACGGCCACTGGGATTGGCCAACACTCAGTTATTGTTACAGGTGCATACTATTAAGTTAGGTTTTCATTTTTGCCAGTTATGCTAGGTTACAGTTCATCCACAAGGGCGTAGTCATTCTCAGGCCATATTTAGTTTGCTTTAACAATATAAATCAATAAACATTTTTGAAGAACTTTTCAAGTAACACACTGTTACAGTGTAGATGGAGAATGACTTTATGTAGAGAGGTAAGAGGTTTAATATTGAAAATGCAAGTTTAAATAAAAGAAAAACATGCATATTTTGCCTTAAAAGTACAAAGTACATCTTGATACTTATATTCATGAAATAATAGTTGAAACAATGATAATGGAAGACATCCATAGAAAAACTATAGAGTGATAAAAGAAAGTTCTGAGAGAATATCTTAGGGATCATTTAATTTTATCTGGTAGTGAATGGATGGCAACTAGTGAGTATTTAGCATGGCTCAACATAAGATGATATAAAATCATGATAAGGAAAAATATCTCTACAGAGGACTAAGTGAACACTATTTAACGGTGTTAGGTTTTTCAGAATAATTATGGGAATACACTCTTTACATACCTACTCTACCAAGGAAAAAATAAAAATAAAAAATAAAGAGTGAAACTGTCCCACACTCTAAAGATTAGAAAACTCCATATATTAATGGTCAACTAATATTTATACTAATTACATCATTGATGGAGAACATATATGAGAATATGTTTTTTTTTTTTTTTTTAGTGTTCTAAGATCTGAGGTTGTACAGAATTGAGGATTCCAATACGGCACACTGATGACAAAACACTTATGTTGATTTGCCTCTGTGGTTTGTCATAAGAGTTGATACTTGGAAAAGAATATATGTCAGTCCAGCAGATTTACAATAAATGGTGGCCTAATAGGAACTACAAAATTTGTGCCAATTTAAGACACATATTTAAGTCTGAATAGAGAAGTTGCTGGTATCCCAGTGGAGAAAATAAATGATGAAACAAGATAAGGATCATTTTTATTGCTGAGAAATGCTGAGGCTGACTAGATTGCAGGATAGATACATTGAAATTTAACAACTTGAAAAAATGCAATTAATTAGTAAACAAGTATACGCGTTTGTTCTTTGAAAGCATTAATTCAGTCAGCTTCATGGATATACAACCAGTGCAGTCAATACCCTGGTTTTGTCATCTCAAAATCCTTAATAATTTTAAAACAGAAGTCCTAAATTGTTATATTGCACTGAGCCTACAAATTATGTGGTCAACCCTGGATTAATAAATTATAACTCATTATTCTAAAGATAAATTTCATAAAAACAGAAAATACCAAAACAAAAATTAGAAACATGGAATCATTTTATATGAGACTATGTGCCTATTTTCTTTTTGGAAGCCTGACATTTCCAAAGACACATAAAGAGAAGATATTTTTGTGCAACCTAACTTAAAGTTGGAAAGGAAAAGACATCAATTAAAATAAAGTCACGTAATGTTTGAAGTTCTCTCTCATTCAGATATCAGGGATAGCCTTCAAAAACCTTTAGAAAACATTCACGTGTTGGTCATGAAAGAGATGCAACCTGTGTTCTCTCCTCATTCTTGGTGAGTGGTCTTAAGACAGAAATAGAGGATTTAATATGAAAGCAAAAGCTGAAGTAGGAAATAACCCCATGGCCATGTTGCCAACTCCTAACTGAACAATATGAAAGAGACCTAAACAAAAGCAGAAAATACCTAGAAAGAATCTGCTAGCTTTACAGATAATAGCAAGATGTTCTTACTTTGACTATCACATCAGAAAGAAATGATACATGTGGATACATTATGATAAAAAGATATTGGAAAAACAAATAATTATTCTACATTAGCTGAGAAATTGACAAAAAACATGTGGATAGACAATAAAGATGCTTTCAATACAAGAGAATGCCCCATACTCTTAAACTAACAAGGAGAAATTTTCCTATAGATTAGATAATTTTTTTACATTTTTGATTAATAAGTGCTACCATATCAACCTTAGTTTCTTCTTAGTTGAAAAACTGATGCTGCAAAGTCAATGAACTGCTTAGGTGGAGTAGTCCTAGCATCTTGTTTGGGCTGCAGAATGACTAAAGACAAAATGAAAAATTGAGACCACCTGAGTTTACATTACTAAACTTTTAGAACTAGAATTGAGGACTAAGACCATTTGTCTTCTTGACAAATATTTGTTTCAGGTATTTTGTTTGCTTGTTTGTTTGTTTTCAGGAAGATAAGGCTATAGTACAAAACGACAATAACAAAAACTTCATTGTTTCTTTAGGACATATTTGCAAACCCATGCAAACACTTTTTGTATTGAAATAGTTTGTATACCTAAACAAAAGCTTATGTTTCAAACTAAATTTTGTTCTCAATACTCGCTTTGAAAATTTTGCCAGGCAGTGTCTGTCTACAAGCCCTAAATTAATATTTTACAAATGAGACACTGCCACATGTCTGTGTTTGCTGTTTTTAAAGTAATGTAATATATTTTTATTGCAGATTCTGAGAATCATCTTGCAGTCTGTTAAAACAAATAATGCAATGTCCAGCCGTCAGGTTTCTGATTTAGTAGATCTATTATATGATGGGGCTAAAAAATTTACATTTCGACAAGTTCCCAGGCAATGCTGATGCTGCTGTTCTGGGGACCACATTTTGGGAACGAACCTCTGCTTTGTTATATGAGCCAGTTTGATTCAAGGTACTTCTTTAGTTGCATCCAAACATCTCCCAAATGATCGCATTTGGGATTTCTATTGTTTTAAGATAAATATTTTATTGAAGAAGAATTGTTGTTCAGAGAAGTTAAAGGCTAGTTGCTATTGGTATTTCTGAAATGGTTGCAGATAACACATAAAGGACTAAAAAAACTTTCAATTAGTTGTCAAAAATCAATATATACTACAAATTTAGATAAGTGCCTATGATTTGCAGCTCGCTCAGAGAGGTAGAAGTTGGTGTACTAGAACTTTTTAAAGTCTTAATAATATATAGACAGCATGATTGTTTAATTATATTTAAATAACTCAAAAATACAATTAACTACTTAATCTAATGCCATACCTTTAAGGATCCAAATACTCTGACACCTATTTAGGAATGCAGTTCACTGAAATGTTTTCAGAAGTAAGGAAAAACAGTTAGGGTAGACAAAGTATAGTAATTATCAGAAAAATATTTTATGACAAGAATTAATTCATTGTGTTGAAAATGTGATCATTTGGTAACCTAAAACAATAAACAGCTAGATGCGTGGTAGGCATATTCTGTTATTGGCAGAGAACTCAGAATTTATGTTTCTTAAAATCCAAACCAACAATATCTGCCCTAAGGCATACAAATATTTGACTCTTTTGACATTCATTTTTCTTTGATAAAATAAGCATTGGGGAGCAATGCAGCTCATATGCTGCCGGGTTTAGTCTTTGAATATGAAAGTCAGAACAGAATGAGTACTGAATTGTGAAGCTTATACACAGCAGGAACTTTGACTGACAAGAATTCCACAATTCTAGATAAAGTTTGAAAGGAATCATTGGCTTCATTTAGAACTGATCTATGGGAATATTCTTTAAAAACACTTGCAGTTTTGTAACAATTGTCCTTCATGTAAATTACATTTGATTTCTTCTCAAAATTAAATAATGATCTGTTTTTTCTGTCACTGTAGTTTTGTGTTTTCTAGAAATTATATAAGGGAACTCATGAAGTATGTAGCCTTTAATATCTGGATTTTTTTTCATTTAACATGCTGATTATGAGATTTATGCAAATTGTTAGATTTATGTTCTGTTGGGTTGTTGAATAATCTAAAGGGATGTTTTTAATGTAATGCACTAAAGCACTCTTCTTAAGTTATATTCCAGCAACACCAAGGAAGGAGATCTAATCCAAAGAGATCCAGGCCCAAATCAGGGAAAGATTCAGATAACTTTGTGCAGGTAAAGAAGAACAGGAAGAGCATGCAGGGAAAATGAGGAACATGAGCAAAGATACATAAGGATTAGGAAGTAAGTGAGGCTGTGGTCAGAGCTAGATAACTGTGGGCCTTGAATGCAATTTATTGAACAGAACTTTATACAGAGAACATTGGGTAGACATTGATTGAATTTAACCAGGTGAGTTTGGTGGCCAGATTTTTTCTAAATTTCTTCACATGGAAGAAGTATAAACATAATCTGAACTAGGGGCAAGATTTAAATCAGGGAAATCACATATCATAGTGTCCATAAAAATATGAAAGGGCATATATCATGTTAGTATGGTTAGCAAGGGGATCAGAAACAAGACTTATTTAAAAATTAATATCTATACAACTTTATTATTGATTAGGTGGGAATGCTGGTATGGGGAAGGAGATGAATATGAAAGAGAATTCTAGGAAAATTCCAGGGTTCCAGTTTGTGTGGTTTGAATAATGATGGTATTTCTCTTCCTATATATATGGCAGAAAGAGACCATAAAATAGAATCTCAAACAGGAGGTCTCTTCCTGATTCTATATATGATAAATCTGAATCTTCAGATCACGTAAATGGAGAAGTCTCACATTTTTCTTTCTTGTTACCACTTACTCCATTTTTTAATCTCTACTGGAAATGTCTGCCATGGACAATGATGTATTCTTCCTGGCCGTAACCTCATTTTCTGACTGTTCATTCTACTGCCAACTCCACCTTCACCATCTTCAATACAGTCTTTTACATCATTGCTCAGCAGTTCTTAGTGAAAATCAGCTCATGCGGCTCTTAAATCCAGCTGAAGATAGCCAAACCCGAGGGCCTGGGTCAGGTAAGGTTGCTGAACTGCTTACTCTCACAGTTGAGGAGACATATACAAGAAGCAAGGAAAGACTAGAAAATACAATGTATTAGTCCATTCTCATGCTGCTATGAAGAAATACCTAAGACTGGGTAATTTATAAAGAAAAGAGGTTTAATTGATTCACAGTTCTGCATAGCTGGAGAGGCCTCAGGAAACTTACAACCATGGCAGAAAGCACTTCTTCACAGGTCAGGAGTAGAGAGAATGAGTGCCAGCAGGAGAAATGCCAGATGCTTATAAAACCATCGGATCTCGAGAGCTCACTCACTATCACAAGAACCTCATGCGGGACACGGCCCCAATGATTCAATTACCTTCCAACAGGTCCCTCCCATGACACGTGGGGATTATGGGGATTACAATTCAAAATGACATGTGGGTGGGGACATGGCCAAACCATATTTTGTAATAAATCTAGTTTTAAGTATGTTAGGCATGAAATAAAACAATTTAATTTTTCATAAGAAAGATATGCAAAGTAATTAAAAATACAGCTGGGAAGTGTTTCAACGACTATCTTATATAATGTTTCCAACCTCTCCCTCTGTCACTCTCTATCCTACTAGATTTTATTTCCATCACATTATAACCAGTATATAGAACAGACAAGGCACATGGGATGAATCTCATGTTTCTTTCTCTACTTTATACCATACCTTACTTGAATTCGAAATAAAGCTTACTTATTTTGTCCTTTATTCTTTAAATATGTTCATAGGAGGAAGTTCTTTCTAAGGCACTGGATAAAAACTCAATAGATCCCATGACTGTTATGGTCAGTCCTAGAAAGTCCTATAATAACTTTAAATTACAAATTAAATTCAGTAATTAAAATGTCCATTCCCAGATAGTAGTCAAACTCCAATCTTGCCTAATATTAAACCTTCTCCACAAAACTATGGCCTGGGAAGTGGGACAGAATTCTTCCTTTCTACCTCCTACCTGGAGCACTTGGCTCTCTTGCATTGTAGTTGAGGGTGAGATGAAATGAAGATGAGATAAAGAACTGATGTTGACTGGCATTTACTTTACTTCTCATTCTCTGGGTAATATTCATGTTTAATACATTTCTTTCCTAAATATTTATAAATATATGAAATTATAAATATATACAACTATGTACTTTCATGTATAAACTTTATATGACTTTATAATTATAAATAAATCTGATAGTTATATGTGTAATTATAAAGTTATTTAATTCAGTATATGTTATGTATGTAAATATAGTTTATTTGCAAATTATCAAATAATTATTATGACACAATCTCCTAGGAGGTATACATCTTGCTTGATTTTTCACCACTGCAACCTCAGTTTCTAGATCAGTGCCTGGAACATAGTAGATACGTTATATAAATATTATATATTGCATAGATTTTAATACAGGTGTACCAAATCATCCAGCACAGAAACTTGCAGACAAGTTGTAGACTAGCCACCTATATTTGGGAGTACCTGATTATAGAAGATATTTAAAATATCAAGAGTCATTTAGAACTTAGAGGGAGAGCCCATAAACTAAATGGAACCTGACTTTTAGGGGAAGGTAAAGGGAGTAGAATCCATAAAGTAGACCACTAGGGTACAATAAGTGAGTTAGAAAGAAAAATAAAGGACTGTGTTCTCAGATAGATAAATAGATAGATAATAGCTAGATGATAGATAGATGATAGACACATACATATATGTACACACATTTATAAACACACACAAATACATACACAGTATTTTGAGAATAAATAATAAATATGTCAAATACCACAGAGAAATGTTGATCCCATCATTAAATGAGAATTTACAGCAGTGCTTGGCTCCTAGGTTATGGATTGGTGCTGGATGGGGAACTGAAAGAGAAGCTCTCCGTAGTTATATTGTCTCTACAACTTCATTCAAGGCAGCTGACAAGATGCTGAGTTCAGCAATGTGGGGAGTTTTGATACAATGAGGATAAAAATCTCTGGAAAAAATGTGTGAAGGATTCAGGGTAAGCAGTTTACACAAACTGTCATGAGATGGTTGAAGGCAGGAGTTGGGGTGAAGTAAAATGTTTTCTTCTAGGTTACAAAATTCTCAAGCTGCTTGAGTTGGAAAGCAGGAATTCAATAGGTTACACTGACATGATACTATGTGACCAGATTTGGATATGGGATATAGAGACATTTTGTGAATAGAGCATTTGGCAAAGAGGAAACAGATTTCTGGAAGATGTTCCTTTATAATGAAATGCAATTAGAGAAAACAGGTTTTGTGGATTGAGGTTAAGGATTTGAAGAGGGAGGGAGAAAGTACACAGCAATAAGGAGAGGGGAAGAATGTTAGAGAATTAACCCAAGTGATGGCACAGGGGCTTGTCTTTTGAATGGTCATTGCAAATACAGGGATAGGAAATGCACCAAGAATTGACAGGTTTCAATTTTTTTCCTAACTTGTTCCCTTTTAAATGTCTTACAAATTTAGTTATTCTATGGCTGCATAAACTGTGTTTTTGGGTTTTGTTGTTTGTTTGTTTGTAGATAAGGGTCTTGCTTTGTTGCCCAGGCTGGTTTCAAACTCCTCGCTTCAAGTAATCCTTCCACCTTAGCCTCCCAAAGTGCTGGGATTACCCACGTTAGCCACTGTGCCCAGTCATAATTTTTACAACTATTTTTGGTAGTAAATTGTTAAGATATTTTTTCATACTATTCATATATGCAAAAGTGAAACTGCCACCACTGAAAATGCATGCTATGCCACCATACCATGATATTTGATCGTTTGAGAAGTATATTTAGTGACATAAGCATACATTCCTATGCTCTCCAGTTGATTTTAAAACTGAGTGTGATTTTATTCCTCTAAAGGAAAGACAGATGTGAAGGGAAGAAGCTGAAAATGAATGTAGAAAATGCCACACAATTACTAAAACCATATAATTTTTTTGTCTTTTTTTTCACATTAAGGTAATGTGGAGGCTTGTATAGCTACATCGTAGGAGACCAAGTTTCTAGAAATTCAGATATCCTATCTCCATGATGGACTAATATAATAGGACATGTCCATTTTAGTATCTATTCTGTCACTCTGCTTTATCTTCTCTTACTTAATTTATTGAGACTTATTTAAGTAGATCATACAATGTATTCCTCTCCACTTCTAGCAGGTCATCAATTCTGAGATTTTAATATCCTGAATATTGGTGCAAGAAATACTTATGACTTCCAATCTTATTAGTGTTTCATTCTTCATCAGTTATTTTGCTTTTTAAAATTTATGTCCCACTCCCATTCAGTCAATGGCTGTGGCAAATCTTTTCCACCAAATTTAAATTATTTATTTACTTTAACTTCCCTTCTCTCATTTAGCCATCAGGTGGAAAAATATTTAATTACTTAATGATATCTAAAAACATTTCTCTCAACTGTGAGCAAACTTTTTTGTGAAATTGATTATTTTCATACTGGCTCTAAGAATTTGTTTTTGTTGCCTCTGGTAATTGTTTCCTGTCCCCCTGGATTTACTATTTTCCCCCTCTCTCTCTTAATGTTTTCATTCTGTTTAGCTGCCAATAAAGTTTAGGGCAAGTCACTCTCATTTTTCCACAGCTCTTCATTCAGCCCAGCGACTGGTCTGGGTATCTCATTCTCTCTAACCATAACGTATCAGGCACATATATCTTAAACAAAGTAAATTTTATTATGAGTATAATTGCTTTGTGAGAATTTTGATACTGCATTATGACAAATAAAATTCTCAGCATTTCTAATAATAAATGATATCAATTGACTCAATGATATAAATTGCTACCTATAGGAACATATTGCGTGACAGTAACAAAAATGCAGAGTTAGACTGGTAAGAGGGTAACATCCTTTAAGTATAAACTTTTTGTTAATAAGAGAAATTTTATAGACCTTAAATTGGAGGTTTGTAGTGTATTCAATGACATAGAAAAATGTGTGAACATATATCAAACTAAATAATATTAACAAGATCCAAGTACTACTAGTCTTCCTATCTGCTTTGCTCATCTATTAAAATATAATTATATGTGCAGATATTGATATTGATTATATATATCTATGTATATACACAGATGTGTATACAGATGTGTATGTGTATATATGTGCAAATGTACCTGTAAATATAAATGTGTATATATGAAAAAAGGGCAGTTATCAAACATAAATACCCATAAATATCCAAATTCTGATTATTATTTCATACCTAACAGTGTTACATAAGAGTGTTAATTTAGTCTCATCATTGCTGACATTAGGTAATGACTTTAAAAATTGCATATGTAATATAGAGAATTTTACTTTGTTTTGTCTTCTTTTGTTTTCGTTTGAAAATACTTCAGCTATTTAATAAATATATTTTCATTTTAGTGAATTTTCTATATATTTCACTATCTTTTAAATTTAGTCTTGATGCTTTTATTAACACATATTTTTACTCTGTCATATTTGTTTTATATATCTGTCTTGAAAATGCCTTTAACTATTTTTTTATTATTATACTTTAAGTTCTAGAGTACATGTGTACAACATGCAGGTTTGTTACATATGCATACATGTGCCATGTTGATGTGCTGCACCCGTCAACTCATCATTTATATTAGGTATATCTCCCAGTGCTATCCCTCCCTGCTCCCCTCACCCCACAACAGGCCCCGGTATGTGATGTTCCCCACCCTGTGTCCAAGTGTTCTCATTGTTCAATTCCCACCTATGAGTGAGAACATGCAGTGTTTGGTTTCTGGTCCTTGTGATAGTTTGCTCAGAATGATGGTTTCCAGCTTCATCCATGTCCCTACAAAGGACATGAACTCATCCTTTTTTATGGCTGCATGGTATTCCATGTTTTATATTTAACAAAAAAATTTAACTATTTGAATGACCAATGTATTATTTAAATAATTAAATGTATCAATAATTTACTTCACAAACCCTTTATTTTCCTCATACTTATGTATTCTGTATTTGAGCAAGTGTTGATAACATTCACCTATATTTCTTCTTCTTTTTTTTTTTATTTGAGACGGAGTCTTGCTCTGTCACCCAGGCTGGAGTGCAGTGGTGTGATCTCAGCTCACTGAACATTCACCTGTATTTCTTATCCTCATTTTCTTTGAGCATTAGTTAATTTTTAATTCATTATAATTATTTTATGTTAATTATGTTAATGTTTGTTTTCTAAATTATTAATACTTTGTTTTAATGGAGGTAGGAGGTAGGACTGGACTCTAAAGCAGGGAGCTTGGACACGGGACCAAACTGAGGAATAGCTAAAACAGGTGCTGGGCAGAAGCAGCTTCCCATAAGACACACTCAACAGTGTGCCATTTCAGTTTATTGTTGCCATGGCAACACTCAGAAGTTACTGCCCCTTTCCGTGGCAAAAACTCAGAAGATGCCACCCATTTTCTAGAAATTTCTGCAAAAATTGCCCATTAACTTGCATGTAATTAAAAGCGGGTATAAATATGAATGCAGACCAGCCTTTGAGCTGGTATTCTGGGCACACTGCCTATTGGGTAGCGCTGCTCTGCAAGAAGCAGTAAGTCTGCTGCTGCATTATGCTGTTGCTTAAATAGAAGTTGCTGTCTAATGCCATTGGCTCACCCTTGAATTCTTTCCTGGAAAAAGCCAAGAACCCTCCTAGACCAAGCCCCTGTTTTGGGGCTTGCCTCTCCTGCATCACAATTGCTTACATTAAATATTATTTTTCCAAATTTGATGCCACTTTATTCTCGCACTTTATTTTTTAGTGTATAATAGAATCAATTTATGTATTAACTGTGAAAGATTCATCTTCTTTATAAATATCAGCCCTGTAAATCTACTTAAGTTGTATATATACACAATGGAATAATTTTCAACCTTAAAAAGCAAGAAATGTCATTTGTAACAACACAGATGAAATTGGAAAACATTATGTTAAGTGAAATAAACCAGACACGAAGACACAGACACTGCAAGTTCTCACTTATATGGAATCTAAGACAACCAAAGTCAAAGAAGCAGAGAATAGAATGGTTATTATAGAGGCTAGGGAGCAGGGAGGTGGGGAGATGATAGTTAAAGGGTACAAAGCCTCAATTAGGAGGAATAAAGGTTTTTTTTAATACTTTGAGATATATTACACAGTAGGGTGATTACAGTAAAAAATAATGTATTCTACATTTCAAAATTGCTAACAGAGTAAATTTTAAATGTTCTCACCATAAGAAATGATGTATCTTTGTGGTAACTATTATGTTAATTAGCTTGACTTAAATACTCCACATCGTATTTATAAATCATAACATTACTTTGATTACTCTATAAATTTATACAACTATAATTTGTCAATTTACAATGAAAATAATAAAGTTTTTAAAAACTTGTGTTGACTAATATTTTCTAAAAGATGAGTATTGAAATATGATACACATAAGGAAAATCAATAAAATATTTAGCACAATTGATTATCACAAAGTGAAGAACCATGTAGAAGCCACCCAGGTCAAGAAATAGATCAGTGACAGGACCACAGAAGTAGTCCTTGTGCCATGTCTCTAACTTTGTTTCAGCCACACAGGCCCACACCTCCCACCAAAGTCATCACTATCTTGTCCTTAAGGAAGTTACCATTAACTTCTAAGTTGTTTTTCTTTCTTTCTTTCTTTCTTTTCTTTGTTTTTGAGACGGAGTCTCGCTCTGTCGCCCAGGCTGGAGTGCAGTGGCGTGATGTCGGCTCACTGCAAGCTCTGCCTCCCAGGTTCACGCCATTCTCCTGCCTCAGCCTCCCTAATTGTTTTTCACTTTTATTTTTTGAGACAGAGTCACACTCTGTCACCCAGGCTGGAGTGCAGTGGTGCAATCTTGGCTCACTGCAAGCTCTGCCTTCCGGGTTCACGCCATTGTCCTGCCTCAGCCTCCCTAATTTGTTTTTCTTTACATACTTAACTTCTAAATACACATTCATGAATACTATAGGTTCATTATTTTTAAATATATATATACAATTATGTATTTTTAAATTATTTGCATGTTAAACCCAATATTATGTTTGTGAGAAATACTTATGTTATTGAGTATAACTGTTCCTTTTGTTTGTACTTATTTCTGCTTAATGTTCTGTTGTTCAAATAAATCAAAATTTACTCATGCATCTACTATTGATGGGCATGGGTTCTTACCAATTTGTGACTTTTATGATTAATGCGCTTATAAAAACTCATTTATATGTCCTTTGGTACACATATATGCACATTCATTTTGGATATTTATATAGTGGTGAAATTGCTATGTCATGGTATATGAATATGTTAAACGTTACTGGAATGATGTCATAGTTTTCCAAAATGCCTGTTCCTTTACATTCCTATCAGCTATATATGAAAACTCAAAGCATGCAAAATACTTGCTAACATTTAGGTTTATTTGTGTTTTAAATTTTACTTATTGCAGAGGCATATAATAGTATCTCACTGTGGTTTAAATGTCAGTTTTTCTGAGGTTTATTAAGGTTGAGCACCTTTTCTTACGTTTAATTAATATTTGGTATCTTCCTTTGTTCCCAAATGTTTATTCAAGCCTCTTGGTTATTTATCTATTAGATTTTCTTTCCTTACCGATAGTTAAGGTGGAGACCAAATTGCTTTTTCCTTTTTAGTATGGGCATCCAGTTGACCAAGAATCATTTATTCTTATTTTTATTTATTTATTTATTTTTGAGACAAAGTCTCGCTCTGTTGCACAGGCTGGAGTGCAGTGGCACAATCTCGGCTCACTGCAACCTCTGCCTCCCGGGTTCAAGAGATTCTCCTGCCTCAGCCTCCCGAGTAGCTGGGAGTGAAGGTGCCTGTCACCACACTTGGGTAAATTTTATATTTTTAGTAGAGACGGGATTTCACCATATTGGCCAAGCTGGTCTCGAACTGCAGACCTTGTGATCTATCCGCCTCGGCCTCCCAAAGTGCTAGGATTACAAGTGTGAGTCACAGCGCCCAGACCCAGGATCATTTTTTTAAAAGACAATAAGTTCCTTATGGGCTCTTTATCCTATTCAGTGGGCCCATTTGTCACTTGCTCCCAAGCCACCCTGTATTAACTATTGTAAGTTTATAAGTCTTGATATAGCAATTCTCCTATCTTAATTTGCTTCAATAATGTATTTTGATTAGCACATTAATTTTAGAGTCAGCTTCTATGTCACATGCCCCAACATGCTAAAGAGAAAACAATACAGATGAAAGTAACAAGAAAAGCTGTTTAGACTTTGTGGTTCAGCAGACAGTCCATTTTATCGTAAAGATTCTCTGTGTGTTTGAGGTGTACACTCTGCTATTCTTACACGTGTTCTTATATTTTTGCCCATTTATCCAATTTACTAATTGTGATCAAATTTTAATGGTTATTTACTTCTGTTTTTATTAATAGATGTGTTAAAAATTATTTACATAATTTTGAATTTTCCATTTCTTTGTGTAGCTTTATTTTTGTTGTATATTTTGTGGTTATGCTATTGGATACATAAAATTTAGAATTGTTGCAACTCATGTTTAATTGAAACTTTTATCATTATGAAGTATTCTTTATTTTCATTATGATTTTTACCTTAAGTCAATTTGATTGATATTTATATAGCTATGGCTGCTTTCTTTTTTCTTAATGATTATATGTTTTTACATGGTTTTATTTTCAATATCACATATATATGGTATACAGAATATACATATATATGTATATTAAGCCATATAAAGCTGACTTTTAAAAATCCAGTCTGAAGTTATTTTTAATAAGTATAGTTAATCCATTTGCATTTAATGTAATGCCTGATATTTTAAAAATTATGTCTACCATTTTACCCAGTTCATATTATCATTCTATCTGTTCTGTTTGGTAATACAAAAACTAGTTTTTATATATAAAATTTTGGTTTAAATCTAATTTATTATGCATCTAAACAATTTTGTGCATTCTCTAAAACCAAAAGCCATAATTGTCAAAGTGAGCCAATATTATAGGTATAAAGATTTAGAATAACTACAGTGATACACTTTTATGGCAAGGCTGATACTGGGTGAAAGAGATTCAGTATGTTCAGATGTCAACTTCTTTTTGCTGTTAGTAGTAAACTGAATTTCAGGAATATTTGTGTCTTAAAATGATATTTAATGAATTGACAGCCCTCTAAAGTTTGGTTTTACATTTCTTAAAATAACTTGGAAAATCTTAAAACAAATTCTTCATTGGAAGGAGTGCCAAACTTTATCTTTCATAGGCCTTAGAAAGTTGCATTATGGAAACTATAGCTTGCAAAAAAGATGACGTTTAAAGTAATCCTACCGAAGTGTAGTTAATAACGCAAATGGTATACAGAACTTAATTTTAAAAGTATCCATTTGTGCTTTCAAATCTCTCGTCTTATTAACAAATATTTTTTAAAATTTATTCATTTTATTAGAGACAAGGTCTCACTTTGTCATCTAGGCTGGATTGCAGTGGTACAGTCATAGCTCACTGTAACACTGAATTCCTGGCCTCAAACGATCCTCCCATTTAGGCCTTCCAAAGTGTTGGGATTACAGGCCTGAGCCACTGTAATGAGCGAAAATAACTTTTCGATTCAATCTTTTCTTAGCTGCTTAAAATTATGTTTTACATTTGAATCAAAAGACGTTAATGAGGTAGGGCTTTATTTAATTAAATAATGGTGAAATGTTTGAAAGAATTATAGAGATAAGTCTTTCAGTGAGTCTGTCTTACAAAAGTTTGTCAACAAATGATACCCAAGAAAATTTTTTGCTGAAATGTGTAAACATTTTGGAATGAAAATAATTGAAACTCAGAAAGTCCTCATTTAGCAAAACTTGCTCCGAGCATCGTAGGGACTTGAATAATTGCAGAAAAAATATTCTCTCAATTAGTGACATTTTGGCGTAAAGAACAAGTCAATTGAAAGTATCAACAACTTAAGATTTATTTGGTTACCATAGCCTTGTAGTATAGTTTGAAGTCAGGTAGCGTGATGCCTCCAGCTTTGTTCTTTTGGCTTAGGATTGACTTGGCAATGCGGGCTCTTTTTTGGTTCCATATGAACTTCAAAGTAGTTTTTTCCAATTGTGTGAAGAAAGTCATTGGTAGCTTGATGGGGATGGCATTGAACCTATAAATTACCTTGGGCAGTACGGCCATTTTCATGATATTGAGTCTTCCTACTCATGAGCATGGAATGTTCTTCCATTTGTTTGTATCCTCTTTGATTTCATCGAGCAGTGGTTTGTAGTTCTCCTTGAAGAGGTCCTTCACATCCCTTGAAACTTGGATTCCTAGGTATTTTATTCTCTTTGAAGCAACTGTGAATGGGAGTTCACTCATGATTTGGCTCTCTGTTTGTCTGTTATTGGTGTACAACAATGCTTGTGAGTTTTGCACATTGATTTTTCATCTTGAGACTTTGCTGAAGTTGCTTATCAGCTTAAGGAGATTTTGGGCTGAGACGATGGGGTTTTTCTAGATATACAATCATGTCATCTGCAAACAGGACAATTTGACTTCCTCTTTTCCTAATTGAATACCCTTTATTTCTTTCTCTTGCCTGATTGCCCTGGCCAGAACTTCCAACACTATATTGAATAGGAGTGGTGAGAGAGGGCATCTCTGTCTTGTGCCAGTTTTCAAAGGGAATGCTTCCAGTTTTTGCCCATTTAGTATGATATTGGCTGTGGGTTTGTCATAGATAGCTCTTACTATTTTGAGATACATCCCATCAGTACCTAATTTATTGAGAGTTTTTAGCATGAAGAGCTGTTGAATTTTGTCAAAGGCCTTTTCTGCATCTATTGAGATAATCATGTGGTTTTTGTCTTTGGTTTTGTTTATATGCTGGATTACGTTTTTTTATTTGCATATGTTGAACCAGCCTTGCATCCCAGGGATGAAGCCCACTTGATCATGGTGGATAAGCATGATACTGGAACCAAAACAGAGATATAGACCAATGGAACAGAACAGAGCCCGCAGAAATATTACCACACATCTATAACCATCTGATCTTTGACAAACCTGACAAAAACAAGAAATGGGGAAAGGATTCCCTATTTAATAAATGGTGCTGGGAAAACTGGCTAGTCATATGCAGAAAGCTGAAACTGGATCTCTTCCTTACACCTTATACAAAAATTAATTCAAGATGGATTAAAGACTTAAATGTTAGACCTAAAACCATAAAAACCCTAGAAGAAAACCTAGCAATACCATTCAGGACATCGGCATGGGCAAGGACTTCATGACTAAAACACAAAAAGCAATGGCAACAAAAGCCAACATTGACAAATGGGATCTAATTAAACTGAAGAGCTTCTTCACAGCAAAAGAAACTACCATCACAGTGAACAGGCAACCTACAGAATGGGAGAAAATTTTTGCAATCTACTCATCTGACAAAGGGCTAATATCCAGAATCTGCAAAGAACTCAAACAAATTTACAAGAAAAACCAAACAACCACATCAACAAGTGGGCGAAGGATATGAACAGACACTTCTCAAAAGAAGACATTTATGCAGCCAAAAGACACATGAAAAAATGCTCATCATCACTTGCCATCAGAGAAATGCAAATCAAAACCACAATGAGATACCATCTCACACCAATTAGAATGGTGATCATTTAAAAGTCAGGAAACAATTGCTGGAGAAGATGTGGAGAAATAGGAACAATTTTTCACTGTTGGTGGGACTGTAAACTAGTTCAACCATTGTGGAAGACAGTGTAGTGATTCCTCAGGGATCTACAACTAGAAATACCATTTCACCCAGCCATCCCATTACTGGGTATATACCCAAAGGATTATAAATCATGCTGCTATAAAGACACATGCACATGTATGTTTATTGAGGCACTATTCCCAATAGCAAAGACTTGGAACTAACCCAAATGTCCATCAATGATAGACTGGATTAAGAAAATGTGGCACATATACACCATGGAATACTATGCAGCCATAAAAAATGATGAGTTCATGTCCTTTGTAGGGACATGGATGAAGCTGGAAACCATCATTATCGGCAAACTATCACAAGGACAAAAAACCAAACACTGCATGTTCTCACTCATGGGTGGGAATTGAACAATGAGAACACATGGACACAGGAAGGGGAACATCACACACTGGGGCCTGTTGTGGGGTGGGGGTAAGGGGGAGGGATAGCATTAGGAGATATACCTAACGTAAATGACAAGTTAATGGGTGCAGCACACCAATATGGCACATGTATACATATGTAAGAAACCTGCACATTGTGCACATGTGCCCTAGAACTTAAAGTATAATAAAAAAAAGATTTATTAAGAGTAATACACAATGTTACTTTAATTAACAGAATTGTGCAGCTTGCCATCTCTCTCTCTCTCTCTCCCTCTCTCTCTCTCTCCCCTGCTTCCCCTTCCTCCTTTTCCTCTTCCACCCTTTGAAAAATATACTCAACAAAAGACTTATATGTACATAAAGTACTAATAATCCAATCTTATAAACTTACAGATTTAAATCCGATTAGAACAGTTTTCATTATTTTTATTACTCAAAAATATATCCTCAAAAACAATTTTTTATTGCTCATTGATTTTTCTCAGTTTTTCTTTGTTCATTTCTTAATTTCTCTTTTATTTTTGATTTGGAATCTTCTAATATACTTTTTAATTATTTATGTAAACATTGCTATAAAATGCTTATTTTCTAATAATAAAAATGTTTAACAACATAGATAGACCTGTAAGAATACCTTTGGTGGTATCTGATCTTTTTAATATTTAGAATTTGTATTTTCTTTGCCTGTCAAATTATTGACTGCATTATTCATTAACCTATTTTTTTTAGTTTTTAAAGTGAAAAACATTTTCTAAAAAATGTTATTTCATTTTATTATAATGACAGAATATGTCCCATATGATTACTGCTGTTTGAAGTATCAGATCATCTAGTAGCTCAAATATTTCTCATAGTTATTTTACTAATTGCAGTAAAATTAATTGTTAACATGAATTCTATAGGTTAGTTTCAGTGTCTTGGAGTTGCCTTGTCATGTGGTTTATATGCAGAAGGCTTAAATTATAATTTATTTTGCAAATGCTCTTTTTAATATATAATAAACTTTTTATAATCATATTTTTATTTTCATCTATACTTTTCTTTTTAAAAATCTGATTGTTATTAACTCTCATTGGAATCGATAAGGAAGCATATCTCCTGACTTCAAATCTTAAGGACTCTTAACTTTCGTTTTACAGTATTATCAAATAATTCCCCTAAAATACAAATTTTATATTTTCATGCCCTTTTCCTTTTAGAATTTTTGTTTCCTTTACCAATCAGAAGTCCAACCATCATAACAAGACATAAAGAAATCCCAACATGATCATTCTATTGCCACCCCATTTATTATATAGCAAGTGGATATCATTATAACTCCATTCCTGTCACTGTTTCTTTCTGTCACTGTTTCTTTCTGTCTATACTGCCTTTTTTGTTTGTCAAACTCTTATTTGTCTTACAAAGAATTTCTCAGATACCACATAACTCCCTGAAACTTTGCCTTCTGTGCTCACTGACAAAGGTGAATTATAATTTTCTCTATTCTATTATATAATATATGTATGTGTACACTTGTATTCAAACAACAATATTGTATTATATTACAATTACATTGTTATTTTCTATTATGTTTTATTTACTAGAGTTCTAAATACTTGCAGAGGTTTTATTTTCTTGCTAATCACAGCACTTGGCTTATAGAATGGGAAAATAACTACATGATCATTTCATGAAGCTAAAAAAGTGTTCATTTTTATAATCAGTACGGATAAAGTATTTCAGTGCACCCACAAAAATTAAAGATAATAAAATAAGTTGATTTAAAGAAGTAATGATCTGTTAAAATTAAAGTTGCTATTTACGGAATTGGTTCTAACCCAAAAATATAGCATTTATTCTCAATATTGAAACATGACATAATACAGTATTCTAATGTATATCATATTTAATTAATCTGCCATACGCTATTAGAATCTGCTTTCAGAAACTATGTGTTGTTCCCAATAGGAAATGCAATATAGACTATACTATCAGATAAGCCAGTTGCAATGGGCTGACAGCTCTCAAAAAAGGTATGTGCACATCCTAACCCTGGAACTTATGTATATTACCTTATTGAAAGAAGAGTATTGGCGGATACAGTCCACTTAAGGATGTTGAGATGATGAAGTCATCCTGGATTATCCGGCTGGATCTTTAATTCAATGACAAGTATCCTATAAGAGACAGAGAAGAGAAATCAACAGAGAAGAGAAGGAAGCAATGTGACCATGAAGTCAGAGACTGGAGTGATGCAGGTACAAACCCAGGAATGCTCACAGCCTCTAGGAGCTGGAAGATACAAGGAATGGAATCTCCACTGGAGCCTCTGGTGGGAATAGCTGCCTTGTTAATACCTACACTTTTGTACTCCAGAATTATGAGAGAATAGATTGATGTTGTTCTCAGCCACACGGTTTGAAGTAATTTGTTAGAACAGCCATAGGAAACTAATATGCCAGTAATGTAAAAGTGCTTTGTGTGAATTTAATTATTTATAAACACGATGAAAGATAAATAAGAACCTTTAAAGATGTCTTTTAAAAAGACATAGGCTATAATAAAATTTTATTTAATAAGTCAAAAATAATTGCATGTCTTCTACACTGCCAAGAATTTGAAATAAGGTGATAAACAAATCAAAGTTATTTTTTAAATAAATAAACACTGGATAAGTTATGAAAATAAAGTAAAAACAAAAAAAATAAAATGAATAAAATAAGTTTCCTTCTTTAATATCTAAAATGTTATTTCTCACACAAAGTAAAGTGTTTCTCTCTGAGATAAATTTAAGTGAAGTAATGGTGAGGATTGCATTTGGAATTTGTAGAGCAAGATAGATTAATATAAACAGTCATTTAATGAGACATTCTCTTCGATACTGATGCATTTTCATATCCTCTTACATGTTGCAAGTGTTAATCCAGGCATCCTTTTCTGCTTTCAATGCCACTACTACATCAACTTGTCACCCAAATAACTGTAATTAAGCATTCTCTCTAGCTGTTGATTACAGTATGCTGATGAACATTCCCACTGGATTTAACAGCCTTTTTCATAACATCTACAGTAATCATCACATATTATAATTTTTTTTGGCTGAAGACTTTTCAAATAATCTAAAATTTAAATTAAACAGCCCTCTGATTATTGCAATCTAAAGTTCAACAGGCGCTTAATCAGAAAGGTGTAAGTATCTATCACTGACATCTACTAAGCAATAGGATAATATATATCCAGGGAAATAAATACTTAAACTGTTTGGTCATTGATCCATGTCATTTAAAAATTAATGTCAGCATATAACACAGAATATTTTTTCCTGGAAAGTAGCAGACTAACAAGGGGACATATTGGTGAAGTGAACATTTACAACTTCCAAATGTCACATTCTGACAACTTTAAGTTGCACATAGCGATGTGAAGAACATTAAAATATGAATCAAGTAAAAGTTCAAGAAGCATGTTTGGAAGTTATTATTTGATTAAATTCTTATTACTCATAGATACAAAAGAAAGATGACATAAACTTTTCAGTTCAGATTCCCAAAGTAAGTATAGATTTTATTAGAACTGTCCCTAGATATGGGCAAGAGGAGTTGCTCCCAAAGCCCCTTGATTTATGAGGTTGCTAAAATCACAAACACACACACATACACACACACACACGCACCCCCCTATAAAATGCATAAACATCTCTGTTTGTTATCTAGGATGCAGGGTATAGAGCTAGTGTGATCCTAGCCCTAAAAATCAGTTTTTATCACTAATACAATTCCATTTACAGAGAATTGCTTTTCCACAGCTCTTGCTCTATTGACTTGAAACAAAAGGCACCTGGATTCAAATGTCATCAAGGTTTGTAGCGTTTCACTGCCAATAGAAAATATGAATACTTATTCGTAGGACAAGAAAAAGAAATTTAATTACATAAATATGTACTAGTATTTGAATTGTTTGTCTTATTACTTCATTTGCTCAACCCACATTTGCTGGCCCATCATTGTTTGAGCTACTCTATAACAACATTGTTCAATGGATTCTAAAAACTGTTTTCAGAAAACTTTTTAGGGTATATAATGGGATTATTTATATATTTATGTAAATATATCATTTGTACATTCTTTTTTGAATACTATTAATGAAATTTTCTTTACTTACAAGAAATGTATTTTAGTGTATGTATAAAGGCCACTATTTTTATTGTAAACCCTATAGATCAGATAACAGCATATATTAGTAAGGGTTCCCTAGAGAAATAGAACCAAGAGAAGATTTATATATCAGATAGGATATATAATATCTTATAAATATATATAATATTATACATATAATATAATGATTTAGCTCATGTGGTCATGGAGGCAGGCAAGTTCAATCTGTAACGTGGGCTGGCTTGCTGGAGGCCCTGGAAGAACTGACGTTCCAGTTTGAGGAAAGTCAGGCAGAAAGAGCCATTTTATAAATGAAGTCTGGAAGCAATCTGCTGAAGATTCTTCCTTACTCGGGGCAAAGGCAGTTTTATTTTTCTGTTTAGCCCTTCAATTGATTGGAAAAAGCCCTCTCACATTATGAAGGGCAATGTGCTTTTCTGATTAAGATATTAATTTCAAACAGAAATACCCTCCATGTTTACACAAAGAAGTAACCATCAAGCAGCCTTTACTTAACAAAATATGTGATAAGTCCTGATTTTGTGTACATGGCAAGTCATGAGAAGCGTATGTGTGTGTGTGTGTGTCTGTGTGTTTGGGGAAGCAGAGGGGCATATGCAAGTAACAGTGGAAATGTTAAGGCAATAGAACAAAAAAAATGTTTATATCTACAGCAAGAAGGAACAGTTAGCCAATCTATGATTCACAATTCTAGTGTGAATAGCGCTTATTTGTTAACTCCAGCATATCCATATGTTTTGACTTTAACAGGGGGTAGACAAACTGCTGACCCATCTTCGTCCAATAAACAAAGCAATACACATTTGAAGATAATCAACATATTTTCATTTTTTACTTATATTCTTTCATTATAATGATTATATTTAAAGCAAACAATTGAACATAATAATGCAAATATATTTTTGCTATAGGTTTGCTTATAATTCACTTGTTTATGTGATTATGCTCTTAAAAATAAAGGACATTTTTAATTAAAATCTGTTACTATACAATTTGTTTCCTGCACACTGTTTCCTTTTTTTAAAACCTAAACCATAAAATTTCATCAATCTGAATCAATTTTCAGAGACCTCACAAAATTTCTTAATTTCTCAGTTCTTACTTAAACATCTAGCAATATCTTTGGTAGAAGGTTATGCCATTATTTGAATTTACTTGAAACACTTAATTTTTTTAAAAAAATATATTTATCTATTTAACCATGTAGTCAGAAAATTGTAACATAGAAAAATATGTAAAATGAAATATGTAAATTTTCCCCATTCCCCATATCCCAGTGTCTCTTTCTAAAGGTAACCACTATTCATACCTCTCCAAAATCATTCATATATAATTTAAATACTTCATACTGTGCAGTATATCTATTTTTCATACTGAAGCAAACACATTAAACACATCATTATACATTTTGCCTTTATCAATATTAAATATTAATCTCTTTTGGAGATTTTTTCTTTAAGGCCTGGAAGAGTAACTTTATTTTTAATGGTTGCATATCATTTCTTCATATAGATGTAAAAAATTCATTTAAATTGCCTTATAAAATGCAAATTTAATATTTTTTCTGCTACTCAAAAGTATTGCAGTGAACATCTCAAGGCATATAACAGCATAATTTTGCAAGTACCTTCAAATGAGATATTTCTAGAAATTAAATGACTGGGTCAAAGCACATGTATGCATATCCCTTAATTTGAGAGATTTCACTATGTGTACCTTCATAAAAAATCTGTACCAGTTTAGACTTTCATCAAAAAGTAATTGAATTAAAATTACTTATGAAGTAATAGAAGTCCATTATTCTCCATCTTACCCAGGTTAAATTTTTCTTACATTGATTAAATGCACTACTACCTTTAAACTGAATTTTCCTGACATTTAAAAATACTTCAATTTTCTATGAGCTCCTGTCAATTGTCCGTAATTTTCTACAACAATTAAGGCCAGAATTTAATATTCATCTTTGGATGCATTTATCTAAGGATAGCTTGAGAGTAAGTTTAAGAACCCCTACCCAAAATACAAAATCAGTTTTTAAAATAAATGCAAAATCATTTTAATAAAGTATGCAAGAAACATGTCTCTCCTTCACAGACTTTAATATTTTCATAATTACTTTAAAGTAATGTGCTGTTTCTAAAATTTCTATTGACCTTTAAGATCTAGAGAGCACATATGATTACCTTTCGTGGGTTTAGGCTGTGAGGGAATCAGTTCATTCTAGGCCTTTAATTTCCCATAATACAACAGAAAAGAGCAGTGGCAGAAGAAATCAATCCCAACTTATCCCTTGTCGAATATCAGCAAGCACAATGTCACAAAACCAATGTGAAGAAATGGAGTATGGATTTCCTGGTGACATTTGTAAAGTGTTTGTGTCAAAGTATTTTTCTAATACAGAAAAGGTTAGAGCTTAACAAATTAAAGCACATGTTTCTTTTAAACCAGTATGTTTGTCATTTGGGATAACTTTAATAGCTTTTCTTCCTTATAAAAAAATTTAACCCAATGTGACACAATTGGCCTCAATCCTTGAACTGTTCATCATTTACACACAAATTTCTTTATCATAATCATATGAAAAACTTGTAAGAATCTATTTTTTAAGTTATAGATTTATCTATTGTAATTGCAAATAGAATTGTCTAAAAATTTTTTTTTTACCAAAGATGTTTAGTTGGTTTCCTTTTCTTATTAAAAAGAAGGTATGCCTCATTTTCTGCTCATTGAATTTATTGACACTTTTATAATTAATATAAATTTTAAATAAAAAGTGCTAATTTTATTTATATAAGAAGATATGTTATCAATAAAAGAGTGTAATATTTATAAAATTAAATTTTACCTATATTTATCAACAGTTATACTAAAATAATCTTTTCACTTTTAATACAACTAATATTTGTTGAGAACCTATAATCAACAGCGCTTTAGTAGCACAGCGTACACTTAATCCTCAGCAATAAGAACCCAAGTTTCTTGGAAATAAATGGCTGGTTGTGGTGCTGGAGCAAGAACAGAGAAAATTGAGACTGAAAAATCTTCGGCAAACAGGAAGAAAATTATCTAAGAATAATGGGAAAGATTGAGATCGGATAGAAACTGACCAAAACTGGGGAATTTTGAGCACCAAAATAAATAATGAAAGTTAAAGATTAAAAATCATTAAATAGACAGGAATCTCGAGTTCATACTGACAAAAACAAACAAACAGCCAAAAAAGAAAGAAAGAAAAAGTTTCCACCTGCCAGAATAATATTGAATAATAAAATGAATAGAGACAGGATTGAATTAAAGAACCACCAGCAGGCAATCATCATGACAATAATGGATTCAGGCAAGACTCAAAATAAGTTCCAAATTATTTGATATTTGTTTTGTGAGAAACAGCATATCTATATAAACTCAAAATATCTTACCATAAAATGTTACTAAAGTTAAAGTGTGAACATCTTATGGACAACGTATTAACCAAGTGATAAAAATAATATGAGCAATGGGACAAGTGCACATTGTGGTCCTCATTACGTATTGCACTGACTGAGAGGTGACTGTATAACTTCTGTGGTATTACTGCCAGAATTCATTATCTGCTAACACAATATAAAAACTATTCTACAAAGTGATTAACCCATAATCTTTCAGGGTATCTTGGTCATGGAAGGAAAAACGAGGAAATATTGAGGAACAGTTCCAGGTTGAAGGAGACTAAAGAGGCATGTTACCTAAATGCAACACATGGTCCTGGGTTTAATCTAACACCCAAAGTGAATTAAGTCTCTTACAATGGCAGTATTTTATCAATGTTAATTTCCTTATTTTGATAATTGTACTTGGTTATGCAAGTAGTGCCCTTGTTTTAGGAACCAAATATGGAAATATTTTAAGGGTTATTATAGACAGTGTCTGATTTTTTAAGTACTTCAGAAAAATATTAATATGTATTGATAAAAAATGAGAGAGGGGGAATGATTTGGCAGCTATGGTAAAATATTTACAATTAGGAAATATGCACGAAGGATGTATAGTTATTTTGTGTACTTGTAAATTTTCTGTAAGTATAACAAGTTTCAAATGAAAAATTTCAGAAATGTTTGTAACGTAGTTGCAAGAATAAAAGTGGAACATAAGTCAATATGCTTTGTTTTTATTTAAAACTTTGGACCTGAGTATTCCGGGAGACAATAAAGTACTTCAGTTCTTTATTATTCATAATGTGATAAGAAGCAATAAAATCAAATTGGGAAATTTCAGATTCAACCCTTGAATCATTTAATCAAAATCTGCATTTTTAATAAGGTCTGCAATTTTTTTATGCATCTTTGTATCTGAGAAATACTGCCTTAAGCATGATTTAGTTGAGGAAATAAGACATTACAAAGAATTAGCATTGATAGGTTTAGTTGTGATTGTGGTCTTGTGAATACATTGAAGAAGAGGCTTATTTTAAAAGATATTTACTGAGAATTTTAGCAATAACATGCTGTTGTGTCTGGAATTTGCTTTGAAACATTGTGTGGATGGGGAGAGTATAGATGAAATAAGACTGAGCACGTGGTGGTCATTGTTGCAGTAGGATGGTAGATAAAGAAGGAAGACTATTCCCTTTTATAGGGGACTATGTTCAAATTCATTCTACAATAAAAAGTATGTCCAGAAAAAAAAAGGTCTTGATAAAAAAGAATAGGAATAAACAGAAGGAAATGATTAAATTACCAAGGAGAGGATCTATAAACTATATCCAAAGAGGATAAATTATTTAATATTTAACTTTATGTATTTCCTTTACTATATTTAATATTTTCTTCTTTCTTTTTAATTAAAGAAATTACCATAATCATAAAATCACAGGTTCTTGGTTCTTCAATTGACCACATAACAGACTTAATACTGCTTCATTTTAAAGTAATAAATTTTAATATAACTAATGTCAATTTATAAGTTTCATTAGTTAAATGACGTGCTATTATAAAAAGAGAAAGAAAACTGTTAGAGAAAAATATACAATTTAAAAGGTAACTTTATTATTTTAGGTGAAAGATCATAAGGGCTTCAAAGTCCTTTATGCCCCTAAATATTAAGATTATATTCGGTTTTTCTTTCTGATAATTACATTTTTAAAAAGTACATATTTTATCCAGCAATTGTTAAGTTTGGCTCAATATTTTCACCATCAAAGTTCTGTATTCTTTTATGTAAAGTGTCAATAAAACAATAATGCACATAGTTATTTGGGTTTAAAGAAAATAATTAACACGAGAAGAGCAAATTTGCAAATTATAAAACCATATGTAAAGAAATAACCGCACAATTTTGTAAATACTTCTTCTACTTAATATATATCTTGCAGCTTTTATGAAGTGATTTATTCAATTACAGTACCGCTGGTACATTGTTTTCTGAAAGTTATAAGTCAACAAAAAATATGTGTCAGGTACATATTATTTATGCTTACTTTATTATATCTATAATTATGTTAGTTGACACAAATGTCATCTGTCATGAAAATGACTAAAGTATCAAGAAACTCACTCCTGTATCAAAGCTAATATGGTGGTTACATGGTTGGAGACCTAAGTTTCTTTTATCTTTTGCTCTGCTATTCTGTAGATGTAGGTTTCATCTAATAATTTAAAATGATTATTTATCTTCTACTTTCACTTCACTATCCCACCAAGCAAGAATTAGAGAAAAATGGAAAGTCCAATCATTCTCTTTATAAGCAACATTCAAAATTGCATATGTCACATTTGTGTTTATACTGTTGGCCAGAAATTAGTCTTATGACCACATCTAGCTACAACAAAAGTTGGAAAATATACTTCATTATGGATGGTAGTAACTGAAATTCAAGTATTCTGTTACTAAATGAAGAATTCATAAGTGAATTATTTTAATCAAACAATTCTGTGGCAGTTTTATAATCTCTATCCTAGAGATTGCTAATTTCATAAAAAGAGCTAGCTGCTTTGGAGTTCAGCTGCAAAAAGGTTTTAAAATATGTAAAGAAATTTACTGAATATTTAACCATATTCTCTTTATTTTATGGATAAAAAGATCATGACTTGAATACTCAAATAGATTATGTAGAAGCACAGGACAGTTAATGGAACAGCCAAGACTAAAAGAAGGTTTCCTAGTTTCTAGTTCAGTTAATTTTCTTTAATAAGCAAATTTGTATACAAATTAGAATTTAAGAATTATAGTTGCTTTCAGTTTGGGTCATACTTTTATGTATAATAAAACTGTAAGACAAATATTAATAAAATACATTTGAAGAATTTCAGAAATCTTACAAGCCTCATTTTGGGTACATTCTTATTTCATAGAAAGTAAATTTGGTTGGATGAGCAAAAGACTAACAAATAATTGCTTCATTTAGCATTATTTTCTTCTCAGCTACTGTCCTGAATATATTCTAGTTATGTTATTTAATTTTTATACAGGCATAGCACAGAGGAATTTCATATGGAATCAAATATTCCAAGGATTTGGGGTGAGATAATATAGAATATATTATTTTATATTATTTATGGGAAAATGGTAGATACTATTTGATATTTCCACTCACTTGGCTATCATATTTGTTGTGATCAGTCACAATATAAAGCAGGTTACTATCATGAACAAGAAGAAATGAGATAATCCTGCTCCCAATGGAAACAACTAAGAAAGACTGGATAAGAATATATAGAAAAAAAAATACAGCTACCTTTACAAGCATTGTTTATTTGGCAAGGAAAAAAATTGAAGCCAAATAAAAATAACTACAGGAAACCTAGTCGTAAACTAATAATGGAATAGGTAGTATTTGTGGAAATTTTGTAACCCTTAGTTACTGTTTTCAGAGTTATACTGGGCAGAAGAGAAAGGAGATAGATAAGGCCAAGGATGTATCCAATTTGCCAAGTACGTAAGTATGGAATTCCAAATGCCGTCATAGTCCCTTTAAGTATTCATGAGAAATTAGACCACCATGCTGAAAAGGTCAGAAGAGTAGCTTGTCTATATAGCCTTAATACCAAGTAGCAGGGAGAAAGCAACAACAATAATAATAGTCTCCCCTGAACTTTGTAACCACAAACTACTTCTCATATGGATTTCAGATTGACTCACATTTCCACTGGGGACCCAAAAACACAAGTAGAAAATTTATCTTGAAATGGTCCTGTATTCATGGTGCTCCATCCACTAAAGAAACAAAATTTTAACTCAGGTCTCTAATAATTACTACAAAAAAATCCAAGAAAGATGAGTTCAGAATTAAAGATCTCAAAATACAGAAATATACCAAAGGAACAAAAACCCTAAAAACCATGAATAAGAGCCAACAAAACAACACAAAGCTGAAGGAGACTCACAAACATCACAGATACTGGGTTTATAAACTACAAAATGAAGAATCAATATTTTGATTAAAGTAATAAAGGATAGACCAGAAAATATAAGCAAAGAATAAGAGATCATAAAAATGAACAAGAATATTTGACAAGTAACCATGTAGAAAATCCATATATGGAAAGCATAATAATTATATATTCGGTGGGAGGCTTCCAGTGTGTAAGATAACAGCAGATGCCAAGATACACATCCCTCCCTATTTAAAAAAACAGAAAGGAAAAATGTCTATCGCCTACAACTACAGAATAACAAAAAAAAAGAGTACTATAAACTATGCTGTAGATAAATTGAAAAATAAACATTCAAGATAAGTGGAATCAGTGTCTGACCTGACAGTGTAATGCAGCGAAAGTTTAGCTGGAGTTAGTTGGAAAACCTGTGAGAATGAAGGCATCCTGGTGGTAAGAGAGCTCAGAAAACACCAACCAGAGTTTACTTCAAGAAGGAGAGGCCCCAACTCTGAGTGGTAACAACTGAGTGTATCGAGATCCAGTGTGTCAAAGCACCATCAATTAGGAGGTTAAAAAGACAAGAGTGGACAGTACACACAACCAGAGGTGGCATTCTTAAGAAAGGGCCACTTTTGAGTGAGAGAGAGATTACCTTGTAAAGAAGAGGTATCCCTTGGATCAAGAAAATAGTGGTAAGAAGAAAAATGTAACTAATGAAAACAGCAGTACAAAAATAAGAGAGGCAGACTGAAAACAGTATCATTAAATTAAGAAAGTTGACAAGTCACCCAAACCCCTGGTACTTTCTGTTGATAATGTGCACAGTTATTTCAGGAAAAGCTAGCATAATTAAAATCAACAAGAAAAATAAAAGCACTAAATTTTACAAAAGATGAAGAAAAAAGATGAGGACCAAGAAGATCTATCTTAGAAGCAAAAGAAAACTTTAACATATCTTTGCAATTTGAATTAAAAGCAAAAGCATTGCAGATGTGAAAGAACATGAGAATCAGAAATCTCAGAAATAAAATGGACTCTCAGCAAGAATAGGGAAACAGGAAACTGATGTGGCTAAGAAAATTTCAAAAATAAAATAAAAATTTTAAACCTCAGAAATGAAGGCTAAGCTACCAGGTATTCAATCAAAAATAAATAATATATATATATGATTTGAAGTTTGGAAAGGGACATAGAGAATTAAATAATAAAAGCAAAAAATGGAGATAGATATTAAAAAGATATTTGAAAGATTATAATGGAAGTTAAACAACATGGCAACTTCTCACAATGTGGTCTGAGATGCCTCAGGTCCTCTAGACTGTCTCAGGTGGTCTAGGAGGACAAAATTATTTTCATATTAATACTAAAACATCATTTGCCTTTTTAATTCTCATTCTCAGATGGATGCAGATAACTTCCAGAGACTATATGTCCTGTGGTGACTTCATTGCTCTGATGGCTAATGTGAGGTGTCTTGAGTATTGTTGTGTTTTACAAATTTCTTAGCTTTAATTTCTAAATTGGTAAATATTCATAGATTAGATGAACATAAACAAAAGCTCTGTGTTTCTCAATACTTTCAAGACTAAAGGATTCTGAAAACAAAATGTTGATAAAAAAGACTGGCAAACTTCAATATACAAATTTGTAATTAAAAATATGGAAGAAGGAAAGCAAATTGATTGAACCTAAATTTAAAACCCTAATTCAAGGAACCTTTCCTTGAATAAAATGTGTCTTGAATCTGCTATAGCAAGAGTAAATGGAAACCCGGGGAAATTGACATAGCAGTATCAACTATAAGATATATACTAATTATAGGTGCTGTCTTAATGTCAAAACGATTAGAAGAATGTTTTTCAAATATAGCTCCAATGAGGCTAGTGCCTGAGATTTTCATTAATTACAAAAAAAGCAGATCCAAATTCAGCTGATGAATTGCGTCCCATTGTTTGTCTCATAAAGATTACAGGCTATTTAGTTAGCCTCTGTGCACTTTAGTTTCCCCATCTGTAAGATGAAAATAATAATAGCTCTTTTTTATACAGATTTTATAAAGTTTAAAGAATTTACATCAAAAACTGCAGAACAGTTGAGACATAGAGAAATTACTTAATAAATATTGTTATTATATTATTATCATTTAAACAAATAATGTAGACACACATCAAACTTTCAAGATCAAAATTCTCAGGTTTGTGGCACAAACATTTCCACTCCTTAAAAGTTTCGTAAGTAATTCTTATAGTCATCATAGTTTAAAAACATAATTTCATTTTCAATCCTTCAAATCATCTTTAAGCATTTTTTATGTTTAATTATTAGAACTGATATTTTCTTAAGTATTGTAATACTTTTCTTACTGTTAAGGACGTTTACTTTCATTCTATCATTAAGGTAAATTTTTATACAGAAATGATATTTGTTTTTATCAAATGACATTTAAGATGTCAAAATTATCATGTATTTCTCCTTTGCATAAATGAATACATCAGTAGTTTTCTAATTTTGGCTCCCTTTACTGACCTAAAATAACTTCCACCTGATTTTGTTATGTTCAAAGGATAATATACAATTTGACTTGATTTATTATTTACTCTATCATTTCTCTGCTGCTTTTCTTGAGTCTATAAATTTATTTGTATTCCTTATTTTGAGGAATATCAGCTCAATAAAATGTTAACAGATATTCCCTAAAAATTGATTACGTAATTAAATCTATTTTGATAATTCTAGATTAAATGAATCTAAAGAACTCTCCTTGGTATTGAAATGTTTAGTTAATTTATTAACTCAATTAGAAATGTTTAAGAGATAGCTACTTTAAAAATGTTTCTAAAATTTATATGGAACAATGTAATACCTTTATTCTCCAGGAATCTTACAGTTTTTAAATTTTTAACATTTATGAGATCATTTAATTTTTTTCTCTGCTTCTTTTTAAACAGAATTTATTTTTTAAAGCACGTTTAGGTTTATAGCAAAATTCAGCAGAAAGCACTGGAATTTCCCTTATGTTACCTGCCCCCACACATGCAGACCCTCACTCATTGCCATCATCTCCCACCAGAATGGTACATTTGTTATAATTGACGAGGCAATACAAATCCAAGTTTACGTTAGGAGTCACTCTTGGTATTATACATTCGGTGTCTTTGGACAAGTATGTAGTGTCATGCATCCACATTACAGTATCATACAGAATAGTTCGACTGCTCTAAAAATCCTCTGTGCTCTCCCTATTTACCCATCCCTGACCCCAACCGCTGACAACTAAAAGTCCAGCAGATATGTAGAAAACAGAACAAGACTTCAACACTTAATAATTGTCAGTTAACTGTAATCACCTATTCCAATACTACTATTTGATATGTTTTCGATACATTGGTGTTCCTGAATTAAAACTATGAAATATGGCAAAGAAAATATTTGACCTTTTAAAAGCATAATTTGTTTTCAGTTACTTTTGTAATTCTTATCAACCATTAAATAGCCTTTTCACTGTTTTTCAGAAAGTTTTCATGTAGATCTACATATATATTTAAATATATATACATATATATATATTTTTCACAATTCCAAAACTAAAAAGTTTACATTTCATTTTTCACTAAATAGAACAATATATTTAATTCAATACCTCCCCTTAAGCTTTGGCACACATGTTCTTATAAGATAACAAAGAACCTAAATATTTTAAAATGCATGGTTAGTGATGAAACGTCAATAATGACTATATTTCAGCTTTTAGAAATCAGTGACTAAAGGTAATAGGATAATCTAGATTTAATTTCCTATAAAAAAGGATTGGATATCAGCCAGTATTAAGATTTATTAAGAGCCAAAAATGCTGTCAAAGTTCATGTCTACATGGAACATTACTCATTCATTCTGTTAATCTAAAATAATATGGAATATAATTTATCAGGACATCAAAATCATAGCTTTTACTTCATTTCCTCACTTCTATAAGGACATGCACAATAGACTCTACAACTATACATGCACTCTATTAGGGCTAATTGAAAATAGATGGTACAATTAACCCGCTTTTTAGTAAAAAACATTAACACTTAATGTAAAAGTCTAATCACAATAAAAAGAGTTTCACATTGGAAGGGAATGTGGTAATTTAAAATCATCGGATTTTCTCTTACAAAGTAAATTAAAGAAAGAAAAAGTTAATATAACATCACCCAAAGCAACAATTAGACATTTGTGTTCTTAATCTTTGATTTCTTTCTCAGATCTCCACTTCAGAAGACTATAGATGATTTATCACAATGACTCTCGGTCTTTAGGTGCAACATAGCAGAACTAAGCAGATGGCCATGAAACAAATAAGCTGTAGAAGCAACCATTACAATATAAACTGCAAGAGTGAAAATTAATATGCAAACTCATGTAAAAAAATCAGCCTTGATCATGTTACCTTGACAAATTTCATTAAACAGATTATTTTGATGTATTACATTTTAGTTCAATGAATGCTTAAAAGATATAGAAAAATATTATTAATATTTTTGATTAAAATAAATCATCTATATATGTTGAGTATTTCAAAATCTAAAGCTTTTAGTTTATCATAAAGTTTTTAAAAATGTTTGGATTTTTTTTTTTTTTTCAGACAGAGTCTTGTTCTGTCACTCAGGCGGGGCTGGAATGCACTGGCACAATGACGGCTCACTGCAGCCTTAACCTTCTGAGCTCAGGAGATTCTCATGTCTCAGCCTCCCCAGTAGCTGGGATTACAAGCACACACCAACATGCTCAGCTAATTGAACTTCTTTTAAAATGTTTTCGGATGTAAAATTACTTGTTTTAATAAACCAAAGTTTAAAGCACATACTGGGTATACCGTATACTTGCTACCATTGTTTACTTGTGCATTTAGGGTGGACATCGTTAATCAATTCTTATACTCTTCCCTGCTGAATCTAGACTTAGCTCTATAATCCTTTATAATAACATTCTAGAGGCTCTAGGGATTTGCCATAATGTAGGAAAAATATTTGACAAGCCCAGTTTAGGCCTCTCTTCCCTTTACCTAAGCCTGGACTAAATAACAGATATGCTAATTTTAATTAAAAAACTAAATACAATTAATTATGCAAAATTTATGTCAAAGGAAGAGACATATAGGATATTGTAGAAACACTATTTTGTTGTGGAATGAGAAAAATAATATCCCTTAGTTGAAGCATTTAGGAAATATTTTTCTAAAAGAGGTAAAATTTTAAGTGTTATTAGATTGAAGCTGAGCATCCAGGAAAGAAGAGGATACTATTAGTATAAATATCGCAGGAGGTGTACAACCCCCTGTGATATTGTTCCTAATATCCAGGGGAAAAGACAATGATGTTACTCCCAATATCGCAGAAAATGTACATTCACCCTGCGATATTGTTTCTGATATCCAGAGTGGGAGAGGACAATAAGACTCTAATATTGAAGGGAGTGTACACCCTCTGTGTGATACTGTTTTTAATATCCACATGAGGAGAGAATAATATTATCCCAGTATCACAAGGGGTGTACACCAGCCCTGTGATATTTTTCCTAATATCTAGGGGTGGGGGGAGATTGATATTACTTTCAGTATTGCAGGGGTGTACACATCCTTTGTGGTATTCTTCCTAATATCCAAAAGAAAAAAGATAACATTACTCCCCATATCGCAGCAGGTGCACACCCCCTTTGTGATATTGTTCCTAATGTATAGCGGGGAGAAAATATCACTATCACAGAGGGTGTACGATCTCCCATGATATTGTTCCTAATATCCAAAAGGAAAGAGGAGGATATTACTCCTAATATCCAAGAAGAGAGGGGATGATGTTACTGTCAACATCGCAGGGTGTGTACATCCACCCTTTGATATAGTTTCTAATATCCATGGGGGAGAGGCTGATATTAGTTCCAATATTGCAAGGCGTGTACACCCCACTGTGATATTGTTCTTAACAATCAGACGGGGAGAGGATGATATTACTCTCAATATCTCAGAGGTTGTACCCGCATCGTAATATTGTTCCTAATATCCAAATGGGGAGAAGAAGATATCACTCCCCATATCGCAGGAGGTGTACACTCCCTGTTATATTGCTCCCAATATCTAGAGAATGAGAGGATGATATTACTCCCAATATCCCAGGGGTTGTACATAACCTTGAGATATTTTTCCTAATACCCAGACGGGGAGAAGATGGTATTATTCCCAATATTGCACGGAGCGAACATATCCCCTGTGATATTGTTACTAATATCCAGGGGGTAGAAGATGATATTACTCCCTCTATTGCAGGGGGTGTACACCCCCCTTTTGATATTGTTAATAATATCCAGGAGGAAAGACGATAATACTAATGTCAATATTGTGGGGGGTGTACACATCCCAGGTGATATTTTTTCTAATATCCAGTGGAAAAAAAGGATTATATTAATCCCAATATCGAAGGGGGTGAACACCCCCATGTGATATTATTGTGAATATCCTGGGGGAAGAGGATGATATTACTTCCAATATTGCAGGAGGTATACACCCTCTCTGGGATATTGTTCCTAATATCCAGGAGGGGAGAGTATGATATTACTCCAAATACTGCAGGGGGTGTCCCCCCCCCATGATATTGTTTTTAATATGCAGAAGAAAAGAGAATGATATTAATCCCAATATTTAAAGGATGTACATCCCCCCTGTGATATTATTTGTAATATTCAGGTGGGGAGAGGATAATATTACTCCCAATATCGCAGGTAGGGGGAACACCACCTCTGTGATATTGTTCTCAATATCCACAGGGAGAAAGGATGATATTACTCCCAATATAGCAGGGAGTGTACACCCCCCCGTGATATTTTTCCCAACATCCAGGTTTGAAGAGGATGATATTATTTTCAATATAGCAGGGGGTGTACGCTTTGCCTGTGATATTGTTTTCAATATCCATGGACGAAGAGGATAATATTACTTGCAATATCGCAGGAGGTGTACAGCCCTCCTGTGATATTGTTCTTACTATCCAGAAAGGAAGAAAATGATATTACTCTCAATAGCGCAGGGGAAGTACAACCCCTCCGTGATATTGTTCCTCATATGCAGAAGGGGAGAGGCTAATATCATTCCCAATATCTCAGGTGGTCTACACACCTCTCTGTGATATTGGTTATAATATCCAGAAGGTGGAGGGTAATATTTCTCCTAAGATCGCATTTGGTGTACACCCCCCCGTGATATTGTTTCTAGTATCCAGGGAAGAAGAGGATAATATTGCTCTTAACATCGCAGCGTGTGTACACTTTCCCTGTAATATTGTTTCTAATATCCAGAGGAAAAGAGGATGATATTACTCCCAATATCGCATGGGGTGTACACCCTTCCCCGTGATATTGTTCCTAACATCCAGGGAGAGAGAGGATAATATTACTCCCAATATCGCAGGGGGTTGTGTAAACGCCGTGCAATATTGGGATTAATATCATCCTCTCCCCCACTGGATATGAGAAACAATATCACAGGGGGTGTGTACACTTACTGTGATATTGTGAGCAATATCATCCTCTCCCCTTCTGGATATTAGAAACAATATCACAGGGATGTGTACACCCCCTGTGATATTGAAAGTTATATCATCCTCTCTCCACCTGGATATAAGGAAGAATATCAAAGGGGGGTGTACACCCTCTAAGATATTGGGAGTAATATTGTTCTTCCCTCCTGGATATTAAAAACAATATCACATGTGGGTGTACACTCCCTGCGATATTGGGAGTAATATTATCCTCTTCCAATTTGGATACAGGGTACAGTATCACGGGGGGGATGTGTGTACATCCCCTGCAATTTTAAGAGTAATATTATACTTTCCCCCATAAATATTAAAAACAGTATCACAGGGGGGTTGTACATTATCTGCATTGTTGAAAGTAATATTATCTTCTCTTCCCCTGGATATTTGGAACAATATCACAGAAAGGGTGTACCCCCCTTGCGATGTTAAGAGTAATATAATCCTCTCCCATGGTGGATATTAGAAACCATATCACAGGAATGTGTACATCCCATGGATATTGAAAATAATATCATCTTATTTTCCCATAAATATTAGTAAGAATATCATGGGACAGGGGGTGTACTCCCTCTGCGATGTTGAAAGTAATATGTTCCTCTTCCTCCTGGGTATTAAATACAACATAAAAAGGTGGGTGTATAGCCCCGTGATATTGAAAGTTATATCATCCTCCCCTTTCCTGGATATTAGGCACAATATGACAGGGGGGTGTACCCCTATGTGATATTTGGAGTAATATCATCCTCATTCTTCCAGGATATTAGGAACAATATCACAGGAAGGGTGTACATCCCTGCAATACTTGGAGTAACATCACCTTCTCCCCCTCTAAATATTAGAAACGACATTATAGGGGGGTGTACACACTATGCGATATTGGAAGTGATACTATTCTTCCCTCCACCCCCGCTCTGGATATTAGGGACAGTATCACAGGGCGGGTGTCCATTTCCAGTAATATTGGGAGTAATATCATCCTCTCCCTTTCTTGATATTAGGAACAATATCACAGAGGGGATGTACACTCCCTGCGATATTGGGAGTAATATCCTCTCCCTTTCTGATTATTAGGAACAATATCACGGGGGGGTGTACACCCACTGCGATATTAGAAATAATATCATCCTCTCTGCCCCTGGATACTAGAAACAGTATGACAGAAAAGTTGTAACCCTCTACGACGTTGGGAGTAATATCCTCCTCTTTGCCACTTGGTATTAAAAACAATATCAAAAAGGGGGTGTACAACCCCTGCAATATTGCGGTAACATCATCCTCAACTCTCCTGGATATTAGAAACGATATGACAGGAGGGGTGTAAAACCCCTGCGATATTGAGAGAAATATCATTCTCCCCCCAACTGGATATTAGGAACAGTATCATTAGAGGAGGTGTACACCTTGTGCGATATTGGGAGTAATATCATCTTTCCCACCTTGGATATTGGGAACAATATCAAAGGCGGGGTGTACATCTGCTGTGATATTGAGATTAATATTATCCTCTCCATTTTTGAATATAAGGTACAATATCACAGAGGGAGTTTACCCATCTTGCGATATTGAAAGTAATATCATTATCTCTCCCACCCCCAGATATTAGAAACAATATCACAATGGCAGTGTACACCCCCTGCGCTATTGGGAGTAACATCATCTTCTCTCGCTTTAGATATTAAAAACATTATCACAGGGGAGAGGGGTGTACACAACCTGCGATATTCGGAGTAATATCATTTTCTCCCCCCCCGGATATTAAAAATAATATTACAGGGGAAAATACACCCCCTGCGATGTTGGGAGTAATATCATCCTCATTCTTTCTAAATATTAAGAACAATATCATAGGGTAAGTGGGCATCCCTGTAATATTGGGATTAATACAATCTTCTGCCCACCACCCCCGCCCGAGATATTAGAAACAATATCACAGCGGGTTGTACACCCCCTGCTATGTTGGGAGTAATATCATGCTCTCCCCTCCACGATATTAGGAACAATATCACAAGCCGGGGGGGGGGGGGTTGTACACTGCAATATTGGTAGTAATATCATCATTTTGGCCCTGTATATTAGTAACAATATCACAGGGGGTGTACACCCCATACGATATTGGGAGTAATATCATCGTTCCCCATCTTGATATAACGAACAATATCACAGGACAGTGTACACCCCCTGCGATATTGGGAGTAATATTATCCCCTCCCCCCCGGGATATTACGAACAATACCACAGAAAAGTGTTCACCCCCTGTGATAATGGAATTAGTACCATATGCTTCCACCCTCGATATTACTAACAGTATCACAAAGTTGTGAACACCCCCTGCGATATTGGGAGTAATATCATCCTCTCCCTTCCTGGATATTAAGAACAATATTACAAGCAGGTGTACACACAGGGTTTTATGATATTGTGATTTTTATCATCCTCTCTCCCCCTGGATATTTCAAACAATATCACTGGAGCGTGTACCCCTCCTGCAATATTCAGAGTAATATTAGCCTCTCCCTCCCTAGATATTACAAAAAATATCACAGGAAGGTGTACACCTCCTGTGATATGGGGAGTAATATCATCCTCTCTTCTGCATATTACTAACAACATCACAGGGAGGTAATATCATCCTCTCCCCCCATGGATATTAAAAACAATATCACAAGGGAATGTACACTCCCTGCGATATGGAGAGTAATATTCTTCTCTCCTTTTCTGGCTATTACGAACAATATCACAAGGGGGTGTATACCCTCTGTAGTATAGGGAGAAATATCAACGTCTCTTTCCCTGAATATTACGAACAACATCACCAAATGGCGTACTCCCCCTGCGATATGGAAAGTAATGTCATCCTCTCCCCTCCTAGATATTACAAACGATATCACAGGGGTGTGTACACCTCTTGCGGTATGGGGAGTAGTATCCTCTTCTCCCTCCCTGGATATTACAAACAATATCACATGAGTGTGTGTGCCCCCTGGGATATGGGGAGTAATGTCATCTTCTTCTCCCCTAAATATTACAAACAATATCTCAGGGGGTGTTACACACCCTGCAATATGGGAAGTAATATTATCCTCTCACATCCTGGAAATTAGGAACAATATCATAGGTGGGTGTACACCTCCTGTGATAATGGGGAGTAATATTATCCTCTCCCTAATTGAATAGTATAAACAATATTACTGAAGGGTGTACACCTCCTGCAATATGGGGAGTAATATCATTTTCTCCACCCCTGGATATTACAAGCAATATCACAAAGGGGAGTACACACCCTGTGATATAGGGAGTAATATTATCCTTTCTCCGCTCTGGATATTACGAGAAAAATCACAGAGGGGTGTACACTTTCTGTGACATAGGAAGCAATATCATCCTATCCCAACCCCATATATTACAAACAATATCTCAGGAGGGTATACACCCACTGTGATATGAGGAGTAGTATCATCCTCTCCCCCTCCTGGATATTACGAACAGTATCACAGGGTGTTTTGCACCCCCTGAGATATTCGGAGTAATATTATCTTCTTTCCCCTGAATATTAGAAACAATTTCTCAGGGGGGTGTATACCCCCTTAGATATTGGGAGTAATATTATTGTCTTCCTTTTTAGATATGACGAATAACTTCACAGGAGAGTATACACCCCCTGCGATATTTGGAGTAATATCCTCTCCCCACCCCCCGGATATTACAAAAATTATCACAGAAGGGTGTACATCCTCTGCAATATTGGGAGGAATATCACCCTCTCCCTTTTTGGATATTACAAGCAATATCACAGGGAAGTAATATCATCCACTTTCCCCTTGAATATTACGAACAATATCACAGGGGGAAGTGTACACTCCATGCGATATGGGGAGGAATATCATCCTCTCCTCCCCTAGATATTACAAGTAATATTACAGGAAGGTGTACACCCTTTGCGATATGGGGAGTAATATCATCCTCTCTCTTCTTGATATGACGAAAAATATCACAGGGAAATGTGCACCCCTGTGATATAAGAAGTAATATCATCCTGTCCCTCCCTGGATATTATGAACAATATCACTGGGGGCATGCACTCTCTGCGATATGGGGAGTAATGTTATCCCCTCAAGAGCTGGATATTACAAACAATATCACAGAGGGGTGTACACACCTGGGATATGGGGGAGTAATATTATCCTCTCTCCCATGGATATTATGAGCATTATCACAGGGAAGGTGTCCACCCTTGCGATATGGGGAGTAATATCATCATTTACCCCCAGTATATTATGAAAAATATCACAGGGCGGTGTACACCCTTTGTGATATGGAGTGCAATATTATCCTCCCTCCCAAATATTAAGAACAATATCACAGGGGACAGTACACCTCCCGTAATATGGGGAGTAACTTCATCCTCTTTCCCACAGGATATGAAAAATATCACACAGGGGTGTACACCCCTGTGATATTCAGAGTAATATTATCTTCTCATTCCCTTAATATTACATACAATATCACAGAAGGGTGTACACCCCTTGCGATATTGGAAGTAATATCATCTGCTCTTCTTTTGGATATTATGAATAATATCACAGGGGATTCTACACTTCCTGGGATATAAAGAGTAATATCATCTTCTCCCCACCTGGATATTACAAACAATATGACAGAGGGGTGTACACCTTCTGCAATATTGGGAGTAATATCATCCTCTTCCTCTCTAGATATTACAAACAATATCACAGGAAGGTGTACACCCCTGCGATATAGGGAGTAATATCATCCTCACCCCCCCAAATATTACAAACAATATTACAGGAGGGTGTACACCCGCTGTGATATTGAGGTTAATATCATTTCTTTCCACCTGAATACTACGAACAATAGAACAGAAAAGTGTTCAACCCCTGAGATATTGGGAGTAATATCACGCTCTCCCCTCCAGATAATAGCAAAAATATCACAGGTTGGTGTACACCCCCTGCGAAATTGGGAGTAATATCATCCTTTCCCTGCTTTGATATTATGAAAAATATCACAAGGAGGTGTACAACCCCCTGCGATATTAACAGTAATAACATACTCTCACACCTGGATATCATGACCAGTATTACATAGGGGTGTACAGCCCCTGCAATATTAAGACTAATATCATCCTCTTTCCCCCTGGATATTGTGAACAATATCACAGAGCCTGTACAATCTTTGCGACGACATTGGGAGTAATGTCATTTTTTCCACCAGTGGATATTACAAACAATATCACAGGGGGATGCACAACCTCTTGGATATTGGGAATAATTTTATGCTCCCCCCCGAAAATTATAAACAATATCACAGTGGAGTGTACACTCCTTGCGGTATTGGAATACCATCCTCTCCCCCTCTGAATATTATGAACAATATCACAGGAAGGTGTACACTCTTTGCAATATTGGGAGTAATATCACCCTCTCCTCTTCTAGATATTACAAACAATATCATACGATGGCATATGCACCCTGTGATATTGGGAGTAATATCATCCTCTACCACCCTGGGTATTACAAATGATATCACAGAGGATGCACACACAGGGTGTTTACGATGTTGGGAGTAATATCAACTCCCTCTTAAATATTACAAACAATATCACAGGGGGGTGTACACCAGAATATCCATGGGAAAATACTCCCAAAATCGCAGGAAGAGTACACCCTCCCTGTGATATTGTACCTTATATTCAGAAAGGGAGAGAATGCTATTACTCCCAATATCGCAGCGCGTGTACATTCCCCTTGTGATATTGTTCCTAATATCCAGGGTGGGGAAGGATGATATTACCCTCAATATCGCAGCAGGTGTATGCCTTCCTTGTGATATTGTTCCTAATATCCAGTTATGGAGGGGATGATATTTCTCCCAATATCGCAGGGTGTGTACACCCCCCTGTGGTATTGTTTCTCATATCCAGAGGCGGAGAGGATGATATTACTTCCAGTGTCGCAGGGGGCATACACCCCTTCTGTGATATTGTTCCTAATATCCTAAAGGAGAGAGGATAATATTATTCCCAATATCACAGGATGTGTATATCCCCTCTGTGATACTGTTCCTAATATTCAAAGGGGGAGTAGATGATAGCACTCCCAATATTGCAGGGAGTGTACACCCTCTTTGTGATATTGTTCCTAAGATCCTGGGAAAAACAGAAAGATGTTACTCCCAATATCGCAGAAAGTGTACAACCCCCCTGTGATATTGTTCCAAATATTCATGGGGGGAGATGATATTACTCCTAATATCGCAGGAGGTGTACACCACCACTGTGATATATTTACTAATATATAGGGAAGAAGAAAATATTACTCCCAATGTCTCAGGGGGTGTACACCCACCCTGTGATATTGTTCCTAATACCCAGAAGGAGACAAGATGATATTACCCTGAATATCTCAGGCGGTGTACACTTCCCCTATAATATTGTTACTAATATCACAAGGGGGAGAAAAGGACATCACTCTCAATATCGCAGAGGGTGTACACCCCACGTTATATTTCCTGAATATCCAAATGGGGAGAGGATATTACTCCACATATCACAGACGGTGTACACCCCTCTGTAACACTCTTGCTAATATCCAAAAAGGGAGAGGATAATAATACTCTCAATATCGCAGGGGTGTACACCTCTTCTGTGATAATGTTCGTAATATCCAGGGTTGAAAATAATAATATTATGCCCAATATCACAGGGGGTGTACATCCCCCAGGTGACAATGTTTCTAATATCCAGTGGAGACAGGATAACATTACTTCCAATATCTCAGGGGGTGTACACACCTTCTGTCACATTGTTTCTAATATCCAAAGAAAGAGAGGATAATATTACACCCAACATCACCAGGGGTGTACACCTCCCTTGTGATATTTTTCCAAATGTTCGGAGAGAGAAAGAGAGGATGATATTGCGCCCAATATTACAGGGGGTGAACCACCCCTTGTGATATTGTTCCTAATATTTAGGGTGGGAGAGAATGATATTCCTCCCAATATCACAAGGGGTGTACATACTTCCTGTGATATTGTTCCTAATATCCAGGGAAGAGAGGATGATATTACTTCCAATATTGCAGGGAGTGTACACCCCTTCTGTGATACTGTTTCCAATATCCAAGGGAAGAGAGCATAATCTTTCTCCCAATGTAAAAGGGGGTGTAAACCCACCTTGTGATATTGGTTTTAATATCCAGGAAACAAGAGGATACTATTAGTACAAATATCGCAGGGGGTGTACAAACCCCTGTGATATTGTTTCTAATATCCAGGGGTAAAGAGAATGATATTACTCCCAATATCGCATAAAATGTATATTCACAATGCGATATTGTTTCCGATATCCAGAGAGGGAAAGGATAATATGACTGTCAATATCAAAGGGGGTGTACGGCCCCCCTGTGATATTGTTTTTAATATCCAGGGGGGGGAGAGGATAACATTACTCCCAGTATCGCAAGGGGTGTACACCACCCCTGTGATAATTTTCCTAATATCCAGGGGTGGAGAGGTTGCTGTTACTCTCAATATTGTAGGGGTGTACACATCTCTTGTGGTATTCTTCCTAATATCCAGAAGAAAAAAGATGACATTACTCCCAATATCGCAGCAGGGGTACACCCCTTTGTGATATTGTTCCTAACATATAGGGGGGAGAAAATGATATGACTCTCAATGTCGCAGAGGGTGTACACACCCCCGTGATATTGTTCCTAATATCCAAAAGGACAGAGGAGAATATTACTCCTAATATTGCAGGGGGTGTACACACCCTTTGTGAGATTGTTCCTAATATCCAAGAAGAAAGAGGATGATATTACTGTCAATATCGCAGGGTGTGTACATCCCCCCTGTTATATTGTTTCTAATATCCACGGGGGAGAGGATGATATTACTTCCAATATTACAAGTGGTGTACACCTCACTGTCATATTGTTCTTAATAATCAGAGGGGGAGAGGATGATATTACTCTCAATATCGCAGAGGTTGTACACCCCCCCCATTATATTGTTCCTAATATCTAGGTGGGGAGATGAAGATATTACTCCCAATATCGCAGGAGGTGTATACCACTCCCGTGATTTTGTTCCTAATATTCAGTAGGGGGAGAGAATGATATTACTCCCCAAAATGCAGGGGATGTACAACCTCCTGTAATATTGTTTTTAATATCCAGGGGGGAGAGGATGATATTACACCCAATATCAAAGGGGGTGTCCACCCCTTCTGTGATATTGTTTTTAATATCCATGTGGGGAGAGGATATTACCTCCAATATCACAGAGGGTGTAAACCCACCCTGTGAGACTGTTCCTAATATCCAAGGAGGGAGAGCTTGATATTCCTTCCAGTATTGCAGGAAGTGTTCACATCCCCTGTGGTATTGTTCCTCTTACCCAGAAGGGAGAGGATGACGTTACTCCCAATATAGCAAGGGGTGTACACTTTTTTGATATTTTTCCTAATATTTAATGGAGAGAAAATTATATTACTCCCAATATTGCAGAGAATGTACATGCTTCCTCTGATAGTTTTTAATATCCAGGGTTGGAGGGGATAATATTACAACCAGTTTCGCAGGAGGTGTACTTTTCCCTTGTGATATTCTTCTTAATACCTAAGGGGGGAGAGGATGATATTACTCTCAATATTGCAGGGGGTGTACATCCTCGCTGTGATATTTTTCCTAATATCCAGTGGAGGAGAGGATGTTATTACTTCCAATATTGCAAGGGATGTACACCACCCTAGTGATATTATTCCTAATATTCAGGGCAAGAGAGGATGATATGACTCTCAATATCGCAGGGTGTGTCCCCCGATACTGTTTTTAATATCCAGGTGGGGAGAAGATGATGTTATTCCCAGTACGGCAGGAGGTGAACATTCCCCCATGATATTGTTCCCAATAATTATGAGGGGAGAGGATGATATTCCCTCAAAATCGCAGGGGGTGTACACCCTCTATGTGATACTCTTCCTAATATCCAGGGGAAAGAAGATGATATTACTCCCAATATCGCAGGGGTGTACACTCCCTGTTATATTGCTTCTAATATCTACAGAATGAGAGGATGATATTACTCCCAATATCGCAGGGGTTGTATACCCCTTTGAGATATTTTTCCTAGTATCCCGACTGGAAGAAGATGATATTACTCCCAATATCACGAGGAGTGGACACATCCCCTGTGATATTTTTACTAATATCCAGCGGGTAGAAGATGATATTACTCCCTCTATTGCAGGGGTATACACCCCCCTTTTGATATTGTTAACAGTTTCCAGGAGCAAAGATGATAATATTAGTGTCAATATTATAGGGGGTGTACACACCCTCTGTGATACTGTTTCTAATATCCAGTGGAAAAGAGGATAATACTAATTCCAATATCGAAGGTGGTTTAAACCCCCCTGTGATATTGTTGTGAATATCCAGGGGGGAGAGCATGATATTACTTCCAATATTGCAGGAGGTGTACATCCCCCCCTGTGATATTGTTCCTAATATTCAGGAGGGAAGATTATGATATTACTACCAGTATCACAGGGGCTGTACACCCCCTCTGTGTATTGTTCCTAATACCCAGGAGAGAAGAGTATGATATTACTCCCAATATTGCAGGGTGTGTACTCCCCACCGTGATATTGTTTTTAATTTCTAAAAGAAAAGAGAATGATATTATTCCAAATACTGAAAAGGGGGTACACCCCCCGTGATATTATTTCTAATATTCAGGTGGGGAGAGGATACTATTACTCCCAACCTCATAGGTGAGGGGAACATCCCCTCTGTGATATTGTTCTCAATATCCATGGGTAGAAAGGATAATATTACTCCCAATATGGCAGGAAGTGTACACCCCCCCTCCGTGATGTTGTTCCCAAAATCCAGGTTCTGAGAGGATGATATTGCTTTCAATAGCACAGCCAGTGTACATCTTGCCCGTGATATTGTTTTTAATATCCACCGGCGAGGAGGATAATATTACTTGCAATATTGCAGGGGCTGTACAGCCCTCCTGTGATGTTGTTCTTACTATCCAGAAAGGAAAAAAAGCGGTATTACTCTCAATAGTGCAGGGGATGTACACCCCATCCCCCCCGTGATATTGTTCCTCATATGCAAAAGGGGAGAGGATAATATTACTGCCAATATCGCAGGTGGTGTACACAACCCCATGCAAGTCAGATTAGTGTTGAGGATCCAGCATTCCTCGAGCAATCAATTTAAAATCTGAATAATCCTTTTGCAGAAAAGAGAATAAAGCAGAGGACAAAGAAAGGCAAATAAAAGAAATATAGAAATCCAGCACAAACATCTGAAATTTCTGATTCCCATATTTTTACTATTGTGTTCTGAAATATTCTCATATAGAACTAATCCCCATCCTTTTGTAATTTTTTAAATTTATTTATTATTAGTATACTTTAAGTTTTAGGGTACATGTGCACAATGTGCAGGTTAGTTACATGTGTATACATGTGCCATGCTGGTGCGCTGCACCCACTAACTCCTCATCTAGCATTAGGTATATCTCCCAGTGCTATCCCTTCCCCCTCCCCCCACCCCACAACAGTCCCCAGAGTGTGATGTTCCCCTTCCTGTGTCCATGTGTTCTCATTGTTCAATTCCCACCTGTAAGTGAGAATATGCGGTGTTTGGTTTTTTGTCCTTGCGATAGTTTACTGAGAATGATGATTTCCAATTTCATCCATGTCCCTACAAAGGACATGAACTCATCCTTTTTTATGGCTGCATAGTATTTCATGGTGTATATGTGCCATATTTTCTTAATCCAGTCTCTCATTGTTGGACATTTGGGTTGGTTCCAAGTCTTTGCTATTGTGAATATTGCCTCAATAAACATACGTGTGCATGTGTCTTTCTAGCAGCATGATTTATTGTCCTTTGGGTATATACCCAGTAATGGGATGGCTGGGTCAAATGGTATTTCTAGTTCTAGATCCCTGAGGAATCGCCACACTGACTTCCACGATTGTTGAACTAGTTTACAGTCCCACCAATAGTGTAAAAGTGTTCCTACTTCTCCACATCCTCTCCAGCACCTGTTGTTTCCTGACTTTTTAATGATTACCATTCTAACTGGTGTGAGATGGTATCTCATTGTGGTTTTGATTTGCATTTCTCTGATGGCCAGTGATGGTGAGCATTTTTTCATGTGTTTTTTGGCTGCATAAATGTCTTCTTCTGAGAAGTGTCTGTTCATGTCCTTCGCCCACTTTTTGATGGGGTTGTTTTTTTTTTCTTGTAAATTTGTTTGAGCTCATTGTAGATTCTGGATATTAGCCCTTTGTCAGATGAGTAGGTTGCAAAAATTTTCTCCCATTTTGTAGGTTGCCTGTTCATACTGATGGTAGTTTCTTTTGCTGTGCAGAAGCTCTTTAGTTTAATTAGATCCCATTTGTCAATTTTGGCTTTTGTTGCCATTGCATTTGGTGTTTTAGACATGAAGTCCTTCCCCATGCCTATGTCCTGAATGGTAATGCCTAGGTTTTCTTCTAGAGTTTTTATGGTTTTAGGTCTAACGTTTAAGTCTTTAATCCATCTTGAATTGATTTTTGTATAAGGTGTAAGGAAGGGATCCAGTTTCAGCTTTCTACATATGGCTAGCCAGTTTTCCCAGCACCATTTATTAAATAGGGAATCCTTTCCCCATTGCTTGTTTTTCTCAGGTTTGTCAAAGATCAGATAGTCGTAGATATGTGGCATTATTTCTGAGGGCTCTGTTCTGTTTCATTGATCTATATCTCTGTTTTGGTACCAGTACCATGCTGTTTTGGTTACTGTAGCCTTGTAGTATAGTTTGAAGTCAGGTAGTGTGATGTCTCCAGCTTTGTTCTTTTGTCTTAGGATTGACTTGGCGATGCAGGCTCTTTTTTGGTTCCATCTGAACTTTAAAGTAGTTTTTTCCAATTCTGTGAAGAAAGTCATTGGTAGCTTGATGGGGATGGCATTGAATCTGTAAATTACCTTGGGCAGTATGGCCATTTTCACGATATTGATTCTTCCTACTCATGAGCATGGAATGTTCTTCCATTTGTTTGTATCCTCTTTTATTTCCTTGAGCAGTGGTTTGTAGTTCTCCTTGAAGAGGTCCTTCACATCCCTTGTAAGTTGGATTCCTAGGTATTTTATTCTCTTTGAAGCAATTGTGAATGGGACTTCACTCATGATTTGGCTCTCTGTTTGTCTGTTGTTGGTGTGTAAGAATGCTTGTGATTTTTGCACATTGATTTTGTATCCTGAGACTTTGCTGAAGTTGCTTATCAGCTTAAGGAGATTTTGGGCTGAGACAATGGGGTTTTCTAGATATACAATCATGTCATCTGCAAACAGGGACAATTTGACTTCCTCTTTTCCTAATTGAATACAATTTATTTCCTTCTCCTGCCTCATTGCCCTGGCCAGAACTTCCAACACTATGTTGAATAGGAGTAGTGAGAGAGGGCATCCCTGTCTTGTGCCAGTTTTCAAAGGGAATGCTTCCAGTTTTTGCCCATTCAGTATGATATTGGCTGTGGGTTTGTCATAAATAGCTCTTATTATTTTGAGATACGCCCATCAATACCTAACTGATTGAGAGTTTTTAGCATGAAGGGTTGTTGAATTTGTCAAAGGCCTTTTCCGCATCTATTGAGATAATCATGTGGTTTTTGTCTTTGGTTCTGTTTATATGCTGGATTACATTTATTTATTTGCATATATTGAACCAGCCTTGCATCCCAGGGATGAAGCCCACTTGATCATGGTGGATAAGCTTTTTGATGTGCTTCTGGATTCAGTTTTCCAGTATTTTATTGAGGATTTTTGCATCAATGTTCATCAAGGATATTGGTCTAAAATTCTCTTTTTTGGTTGTGTCTCTGCTCGGCTTTGGTATCAGGATGATGCTGGCCCCATAAAATGAGTTAGGGAGGATTCCCTCTTTTTCTATTGATTGGAATAGTTTCAGAAGGAATGGTACCAGTTCCTCCTTGTACCTCTGATAGAGTTCGGCTGTGAATCCATCTGGTCCTGGACTCTTTTTGGTTGGTAAGCTATTGACTATTGCCACAATTCCAGCTCCTGTTATTGGTCTATTCAGAGATTCAACTTCTTCCTGGTTTAGTTTTGGGAGCGTATATGTGTCAAGGAATTTATCCATTTCTTCTAGATTTTCCAGTTTATTTGCATAGAGGTGTTTGTAGTATTCTCTGGTGGTAGTTTGTATTTCTGTGGTATTGGTGGTGATATCCCCTTTATCATTTTTTTTGCGTCTCTTTGATTCTTCTCTCTTTTTTTCTTTATTAGTCTTGCTAGCAGTCTATCAATTTTGTTGATCCTTTCAGAGAACCAGCTGCTGGATTCGTTAATTTTTTGAAGGGTTTTTTGTGTCTCTATTTCCTTCAGTTCTGCTTGGATTTTAGTTATTTCTTGCCTTCTGCTAGATTTTGAATGTGTTTGCTCTTGCTTTTCTAGTTCTTTTAATTGTGATGTTGGGGTGTCAATTTTGGATCTTTCCTCCTTTCTCTTGTGGGCATTTAGTGCTATAAATTTTCCTCTACACACTGCTTTGAATATGTCCCAGAGATTCTGGTATGTTGTGTCTTTGTTCTCATTGGTTCAAAGAACATCTTTATTTCTGCCTTCATTTCGTTATGTACCCAGTAGTCATTCAGGAGCAGGTTGTTCAGTTTCCATGTAGTTGAGCGGTTTTGAGTGAGATTCTTAATGCTGAGTTCTAGTTTGATTGCACTGTGGTCTGAGAGATAGTTTGCTATAATTTTTGTTCTTTTACATTTGCTGAGGAGAGCTTTACTTCCAAGTATGTGGTCAATTTTGGAATAGGTGTGGTGTGGTGCTGAAAAAAATGTATGTTCTGTTGATTTGGGGTGGAGAGTTCTGCAGCTGTCTATTAGGTCCGCTTGGTGCAGAGCTGAGTTCAATTCCTGGGTATCCTTGTTGACTTTCTGTCTCGTTGATCTGTCTAATGTTGACAGTGGGGTGTTAAAGTCTCCCATTATTAATGTGTGGGAGTCTAAGTCTCTTTGTAGGTCACTCAGGACTTGCTTTATGAATCTGGGTGCTCCTGTATTGGGTGCATATATATTTAGGATAGTTAGCTCTTCCTGTTGAATTGATCCCTTTACCATTAAGTAATGGCCTTCTTTGCCTCTTTTGATCTTTGTTGGTTTAAAGTCTGTTTTATCAGAGACTAGGATTGCAACCCCTGCCTTTTTTTGTTTTCCATTTGCTTGGTAGATCTTCCTCCATCCTTTTATTTTGAGCCTATGTGTGTCTCTGCCCATGAGATGGGTTTCCTGAATACAGCACACTGATAGGTCTTGACTCTTTATCCAATTTGCCAGTCTGTGTCTTTTAATTGGAGCATTTAGTCCATTTACATTTAAAGTTAATATTGTTATGTGTGAATTTGATCCTGTCATTATGATGTTAGCTGGTTATTTTGCTCATTAGTTCATGCAGTTTCTTCCTAGTCTCAATGGTCTTTACATTTTGGCATGATTTTGCAGCGGCTGGTACCGGTTGTTCCTGTCCATGTTTAGCGCTTCCTTCAGGAGCTCTTCTAGGGCAGGCCTGGTGGTCACGAAATCTCTCAGCATTTGCTTGTCTGTAAAGTATTTTATTTCTCCTTCACTTATGAAGCTTAGTTTGGCTGGATATGAAATTCTGGGTTGAAAATTCTTTTCTTTAAGAATGTTGAATATTGGCCCCCACTCTCTTCTGGCTTGTAGAGTTTCTGCCGAGAGATCTGCTGTTAGTCTGATGGGCTTCCCTTTGAGGGTAACCCGACCTTTCTCTCTGGCTACCCTTAACATTTTTTCCTTCATTTCAGCTTTGGTGAATCTGACAATTATGTGTCTTGGTGTTGCTCTTCTCAAGGAGTATCTTTGTGGCGTTCTCTGTATTTCCCGAATCTGAATGTTGGCCTGCCTTGCTAGATTGGGGAAGTTCTCCTGGATAATATCCTGCAGAGTGTTTTCGAACTTGGTTCCATTCTCCCCGTCACTTTCAGGTACACCAATCAGACGTAGATTTTGTCTTTTCACATAGTCCCATATTTCTGGGAGGCTTTGTTCGTTTCTTTTTATTCTTTTTTCTCTAAACTTCCCTTCTCACTTCATTTCATTCATTTCATCTTCCATTGCTGATGCCCTTTCTTCCAGTTGATCGCATCGGCTCCTAAGGCTTCTGCATTCTTCACATAGTTCTCGAGCCTTGGTTTTCAGCTCCATCAGCTCCTTTAAGCACTTCTCTGTATTGGTTATTCTAGTTATACATTCTTCTAAATTTTTTTCAAAGTTTTCAACTACTTTGCCTTTGGTTTGAATGTCCTCCCGTAGCTCGGAGTAATTTGATCATCTGAAGCCTTCTCTCAGTTCGTCAAAGTCATTCTCTGTCCAGCTTTGTTCCGCTGCTGGTGAGGAACTGCGCTCCTTTGGAGGAGGAGAGGTGCTCTGCTTTTTAGAGTTTCCAGTTTTTCTGCTCTGTTTTTTCCCCATCTTTGTGGTTTTATCTACTTTTGGTCTTTGATGATGGTGATATACAGATGGGTTTTTGGTGTGGATGTCCTTTCTGTTTGTTAGTTTTCCTTCTAACAGACAGGACCCTCAGCTGCAGGTCTGTTGGAGTACCCGGCCCTGTGAGGTGTCAGTGTGCCCCTGCTGGGGGGTGCCTCCCAGTTAGGCTGCTCGGGGGTCAGGGGTCAGGGACCCACTTGAGGAGGCAGTCTGCCTGTTCTCAGATCTCCAGCTGCGTGCTGGGAGAACCACTGCTCTCTTCAAAGCTGTCAGACAGGGACATTTAAGTCTGCAGAGGTTACTGCTGTCTTTTTGTTTGTCTGTGCCCTGTCCCCAGAGGTGGAGCCTACAGAGGCAGGCAGGCCTCCTTGAGCTGTGGTGGGCTCCACCCAGTTCCAGCTTCCTGGCTGCTTTGTTTACCTAAGCAAGCCTGGGCAATGGCGGGCACCCCTCCCCCATCCTCGCTGCTGCCTTGCAGTTTGATCTCAGACTGCTATGCTAGCAATCAGTGAGACTCAGTGGGCGTAGGACCCCCGGAGCCATGTGCTGGATATAATCTCCTGGTGCGCCATTTTTTAAGCCCATCGGAAAAGCGCAGTATTCGGGTGGGAGTGACCTGATTTTCCAGGTGCCGTCCGTCACCCCTTTCTTTGACTAGGAAAGGGAACTCCCTGACCCCTTGCGCTTCCCGAGTGAGGCAATGCCTCGCCCTGCTTCGGCTCGTGCATGGTGTGCACACCCACTGACCTGGGCCCACTGTCTGGCACTCCCTAGTGAGATGAACCCGGTACCTCAGATGGAAATGCAGAAATCACCCGTCTTCTGCATAGCTCATGCTGGGAGCTGTAGACCGGAGCTGTTCCTATTCGGCCATCTTGGCTCCTCAGTCCACCCCTTTTGTAATTTTTAAGTAACTTTATATCTCCTAAATAATGTCCAAATTATGTCTAGCAAAAACAAATTCCCAACAGGGTAGAGGCTTCAGAGGATTGTTAAAACTCATTCAACATAGTTGGTTATAAAGCATCTTTAAAACTGGATTAATGAAATTATTTAATAGATAATACATTATACTTAGTGGAACTCCAAATACAAATACCTTTTTTAAACCATACTATGGCTAGGTCAGAATTTTTCAAACAGGAAATTATTAGTATTTCCTAAGTATTCATTGTAAAAATAATACAATGGTAAAAATTAATTTTATAAGGATAACACAGAAAATAAAAGTGAAGTAAAATACACTGAAGAAAAGTGAAATTAAAAGTTGTACATTCATGTATTCATGATTCTATTTTTTAAAGTTAATTCTTCTGATAAATTTGTAGTATGACTCAATCTTGTTTTGGTTTATATTTACGGAATGTATATTAAAATATTTTATTAAAAACAAAAAACCTTATAACTCATCAAAAATAATGCTATAAAATATTCCAAAATTATGTGTATGGGTAGAAAGTTAATTCAGACTTTGAAGAGTTGTTTTAATATTATTTGAAATGTCAGACCTTTAATTCAGTTGAAACCCAAGAGCAGATACTAATAACTTTGTTATTCTTATTTAAATAGTGAGATAATGGATACAAAGGTTTATGTTTTTTTCTCTTATAACAAGAATCAGCTAACCAATACTATAAGTAAGGATGTTAACCCTCATTTAATTAGAAATACAAGTAATCATGTCTTCAGGGTACCTTAATCCACAGACCTTAAGAATTATTGAAATTAAAACTACTTATGTTCAAACTTAAAGCTAGATGATAATGCTTAACATTATATCAAATTTGCTGATGTTCTATATCTGTGTATTTTCTTTCAACCAAAAATGTCACAATACAATATAGCACCTGGAAAGCATAGAATTAAATAAAACAATGTTTTCTGAGAAAAAAATAAATTTAGTATTCTAAAAGTGAAATAACACATTTTCAGAACTCCTAAAGAAACTTATCCATGAGGCAAATGAACAACAAATCTAAGCTAATAAATGTACAAGAGATACCCACCTTCAAAAATATTATATTTCTAATCTGGCCATGCCAATGAACTTTACTGATGTGAAACTAGCCTCTCTTCCCCGAATATAAGCAGTGATGATATGTAATTAGCCTATCTTTACTGACTATAAGTAATGATGATATTGAGACCTTACCCCTTACAGCATTCTTAAGCCCTATTGCTTCTTCTAACTTAGTTGTCCTCACTGTCCCTAGAGTATTTCTAGATAATAGTCTTTCTATACAGACAGTGGAAAGTTGCCTCTTAATTATAGGTATGAATATCACTAGATGCCTATATATCAGGTTAACTCTGTCTAATATAAATAATGAAACTCTGATGTCATATATATGTATACATATATGTGTAATATATTCTGACATATACATTTTTATTTTAGTAATATAGAAAATAATCTGGACATTTAATACATTTTCCTGAAACTTTACTACAGAGCTATCTTTAAAATAACTTTTTAAATTAAACTAAGAATGAATACTATGAAATAATATAAAAATGAAATTAACATCTGGCTAATAATGTATAGAAAATATCACATATATATATATATAGAGAGAGAGGGAGAGATGCTTGCTTTTTTCTAGGTGTTTGTTAAATGTTTATATGAAGCATTGACACATATCAGAAGTTTTACTTCATTAAATAAAATTAAACCTATATTTTCCAGGTTGTACTGATACTTCAACGTAAATTATGGATATTTTATTCTGAGTATGGCTTAAGGTAATTTTTATACAGCAGAAGTACATGGTCTGCCAAAAAGGGAAAGGTACTGTACCCTTAGATAACATGTGTAAATTGATGCATTATAGAAATTCCGCACATCATTTATACATGTCCAAATGTAATAGCATAAAATGCATCACCATAAATCATTTTTCTTTCATTATTTAAAGTATAGTAAGGTCACCTCCAAAGTTAAGACAATATTAGCCATTTTATTTATTACAGGATAGAAAGTAAAACCGGTAATCTCTTACAGGACTGTAAGTACATTTTTCCATTGAATTTGGTAACTTCTTTCTCTCTTTTGTGATATTTTGATGCTAATTTTACCAGGGAAACAAAACCCATGATAGTGTGGAACATAAATTTCCAGAACTAAATGGAGTCCATTACGTGAAACACTGAATGCAAAGCTGTTAGATAAGAAATGGCAGGTTACTATAAATTAAGCAATACCCATTCAGAAGAGTGTGACAGTACAATTTTAAGAATCTCAGTAGCTCATTTATCAACAATAAGAATATATCCTGTTTGCAAAGATTGAAAATTTAACAAAGAGTGAAAAAGACATAAAATCCTTATTTCCATTTTTTACAATGCATAAGAACATATTCTAACCAGGTTACTGTTGAGTCCATACTGCCTGCTGATAGTTTGATTATACAAAAGCCAGAAAATATGGAATCTTTTTAATTATTTAACATAACTTTAATCTATTTGTAGGTAATTTTGAAGAGCTTGGGCTGCTGTGACAACTCAATGGAAGGTTTTATGAGCTAGTGTGGATAATAGGAGTCTATTTCTCACATATAAAAGGATAAGTGATGTAGATAGATGATAGGTAGATACAGAGATAGATAACCAATTCACACTTTTAAAATATCAAACATGACATTTGTATCCTACAAAGTATGTGCATTGAGAATAAGAAATGGTGACAATTCACATTTAAGGATCTCACATTCAGTCAGTGGAAATTGAATTCATCTCTTAATGTTGATGTTGATATTGATGAAGAATTTCCCTCTGAGTGATATGTTTGCTTCTCCTAACAATTCCCCCCTTAAAAAAATTTTTTAGAATTGGGTAAGGAGCTGAATATAGACAGGTGCAAATCCTATTTTAATTGTTCATATTAAAACTCATTTCTACCACTCCCTTCTATTGGAAGTGTTATGAATTCCTAAGGAGCTAAAGCTCCGGTTTTCCATTATTTGAAGGCTGTGGTTGAGAGTATTGCACAGCTACCCTAATCCTATTTTACTCAGTTTTGGCATTTGACCTCCAATTAATGAGTATCAGCTCACAGGAGCAACAAATATTTTAGGAACTTTAAGAAAGAAAGTCATTAGTCATAATTTTATATCATAAAATTAAAATATGATATTACTAAACACTAGTAGCCATAATCATTTCATATCATTGTCAGGTACTACATTGTTTGTAAATTCACCAATAGATCTCCGGTTAGGTGACAAATAACTTAAACTATATTTTATATTCATTAGAACTGTTTCTTACTATTTATTTCCACTAAATTAGAAAGTATCAGCAGCTATAAGTCGTTAGAATTCACTCGTTAGAGTTTTATCAGAGAACTTTGGATATTTGCCAAAAATGAGCTCAGATAAATTAAATAGAATTCTCACTGAAATATCCATTGATTGGATAAGTAATGAGCATGTCAGACCAAAATCTAGAAAATTAAATGTTTTAACTTAGTAGAAAATGCACAGGTCTCCGTAATAAATTGTTAAATAATCGTAAATGTTATGAGTTATTTTAATTGATATCCATCCTCTCCCCTCATCCCCACCAACAAGCAGACCCTGATAGAAGAATGAAACACACGTTGTTAACGTGTGAGATGGGGAGACACTGGAAGAGCAGAAGGAAAGTGATAAACAGAAGTGAAGGAAAGTGAACTCTCCCAATAGGGGAGCGTTATTAAGCCAGTGAGTAACTGGCTTTATTGCAGGGAGTATCTGAAGCTTAAACTTGTCAAGGAAATCTTGGAAACAGTATAAAATATATTTCAAAATCATCCTGAGGCAATGTAGCTGGAGTATTTATAGTTTTATACCCATCAGTCACTCACTGGTTAGGGGCTGCCTCCAAATGGACGTTAAATCCAAGCCAATCAATCCCAACCAGCTGTGCTTGCAGGCAAAGCATATTCTGGCAACCCAAGGGACACCATGACCATAATGTTGATACTGACCACTGGAAATCAGGCTGATAAACACATATGAGCTATATTATGAATATATATATAATAACATATATTATTATTAATAATACCTATCATATATGACAATATAATCTATAATTATGTTTATATGTACATAATAAATACATTATTTATAATAATTATTATTTTATAATTATATATAAATGAAATAATAATTAAATATGTTATATATAAATATATAACAAAAATAATTATATAAAATATATAATTTATTATTTTATATTTATTATGTACATATAAATATATGACATAATGTATATATTATATAATGTAAATATATACATTATATTTATATATTTATCTAATATATGACATAAAACAATGTAAAATATACATTATATGTATTTATAATGTAAATGTAATATATAATGTTAAATATAGATATTTTTACATATCTATACATATATATTATATTTTCTTTATCCAATCATGCATTAATGGACACTTAGGATGATTCCGTATCTTTGCTTTTGTAGATAGTGCTGCAATAAACATATATGTATAGGTGTCTTTGTGATATACTGATTTCTTTTCCTTTGGATGGATACCCAATAGTGGAATAGCTGGATTGAATAGTAGTTTTATATTTAGTTCTCTGAGAACTCTCCACACTGTTTTTCATAGAGGTTGTACTAATTTAAGTTTCCACCAACAGTGGATAAGCATTTCATTTTCTCTGCATCCTCACCAATATCTTTTTTAAATTTACTTTTTAATAATAGTATTTCTGACTGCTGTAAGATGATATCTCATTGTAGTTTTTATTTGCATTTTTCTGATGATTACTGATGTTGAGGATTTTTTCATATGCTTGTTGGCCCTTTGTATATCTCCTTTTGAAAAATGTCTTCATATATTTGCCCATTTTTTAATAGGGCTACCTGTTATTTCTTCATTAAGTTGTTTGAGTTTCTTGTAGATTCTGGATGTTAGTTCCTCACAAATCAGTAAATGTGATCCATCAAATACACAGAATTAAAAACAAAAACCATATGATCATCTCATTAAATGCAGAAAAAGCATTTGATAAAAATTCAACATGGTTTAATAATAAAAACACTCAAAAAACTTGGCATCAAAGGAACATATCTTAAAATAATAAATGTCACATATGACAAACTCGCAGCCAACATCATACTGAAAGGAAAAAAGTTGAAAACATTCCACCTAACAAATGGAACAAGACATGGATGCCCACTTTCACCACTCCTATTCAACATAGTACTTGAAAGTGCTAGTGAGAGCAATCAGGCAAGAGAAATAAATGAAATGCACCCAAATTGGAAAAGAGGAAGTCAAAATATCTCTGCTGACAATATGATCTTATACCTAGAAAACCCTAAGGACTCTGCCAAAAGACTCCTTTTGCAAATGATTTCAGTAGTCTCAGGATACAAAATCAACATAGAAAAATCAGTAGCATTTCTATACAGCAATAATGATCAAGTTGAGAATCAATTCAAGAAGTCAATTTCATTTACAATAGCTGCAAGAAAAAATACCTAGAAATATATTTAACCAAGGAGGTAAAAGATGTCTACAGGAAAACTACAAAACACAGATGAAACACAGATGAAAGAAATTGCAGACGACACCAATAAATGAAAAACTATCCCATGCTCATGAATTGGAAGAATTACTATCATTAAAATGATCATACTGTCAAAGCAATTTACAGATTCAATAAAATTTCTATCAAAATACCAAAGTCATTTTTCACAAAATTAGAAGAAAACCATCATAAAATTCTTATGGAACCCAGAAAAAGCACAAACAGCCAAGCAATTCTCAGCAAAAAGAACAAATCTGTAGGCATCCCTTACCTAACTTCAAATTCTACTACAAGGCTATGTTAACCAAAACAACATGGTACTGGTATAAAAATGAACACATAGACCAACGGAACAGAATAGAGAACTCAGAAATAAAGCCATATACCTACAACCAAGAGATCTTTGACAAAGTTGGCATTTATATGCACTGGAGAAAGGACATTCTTTTCAATAAATGGTACTGAGAGAATTGGTTTGCCATATGCAGAAGAATGAAACTGGACATCTATCTCTCACCATATACAAAAATAAACTCAAGATGGATGAAAGACGTAAAGGTAAGACCTAAAACCATAAACATACTAGAAGAAAACCTAGGGAAAACTCTTCTAGATTTGGCCTAGGCAAATAATTCACGACTAAGACCTCAAAAGCAAATGCAGCAAAACCAAAAATAGACAAATGTTACTTAATTAAACTAAAAAGGTTCTGGACAGCAAAATAAAAACTAACAGAGTGAACAAATAGGCTGTAGAATGGGAGAAAATATTTCCAAACTACGCATCTGACAAGGGGCTTTTAAAATTCTTTATTTAGAGACAAGGTCTCATTATGTCTGGCCTGGAATTTCTGGGCTCAAGCAATCCTCCCACCTCAGCCTCCCAAGTAGCCAAAACTACAGGTATGCACCACTGCTCTAGCATCTTATTATTTTTTATTAACTGTATATTTTAATTATTTAATTTGGAGGCATCAATATCTCTCTGCAATTTAGAGACATATTATGCAAAGCAATATTAACTTATGAAAAAGTATATGGAAATTACATGAGAATACACTAACAAAGCAATATATTCTATGAACTGAACATTTTCTGAGTAAATTAATACTATTTTTAATGTAACATATTTTAGGGGAACAGGGTGAAAAGTATATGAGAGCTCTTTACTATTTTCGCAACTTTCCTGGAAGTCTAAAATTAAATAGTTAAAATTTTTAAAAAGATCAAAAATAACATGGTTTTGACAAGCAGGAATAAATAAAAGTATGAAAGACATCACGGGAAAATTATATATTTGATAATAATCATTATATATTTTATATTTGTCACATTGATTAATTCTGTTTTCACCTCAAAACTGGCAGCTGATAAACTTCCAGGAAACACCAGTGTTTTGTGGGCTTTCATGTGAGAAACACTACCCTAGGTATAGACCGTATAAGGCAGGCTATTTTACATCTTTACAGTGAAATTGCAGCATAATAAATTAGATGCTCTGTGTTTGCTACTTTCCCAGAACTAAAGAAAACACAATCCTGGTGAACCAAACATCGCAAGTGGACTGTTTCCAACAGCTTTTATTAATTACTTTCTTCCCTGATGACTGAAAAGCTGTTATAATTAAATAACAAAAGTGTCATACTTCAGGCAGAAGGAACACTATCCTCTTAGTACCTCCTGTTAGCAAAGAAGGAATAAATTCATTGTTCAGAAGAAATTACAAAACCTTATTCCAATAGACCCTCCTAGCATGAAAGGGCCTTCTTCAGCAGGAGCTCTTTTGGTGTCCTTAAGTCTGACTCCCTGCTGACCACAGGATGCCAAGCCCAGCTTCCCCTTAGCCACCTGGCTCCCCTGGAGTACTCAAGGGAATGAACCAACATGTTCCAAGAGTACTCACCAAATGCACAGTCTATAAATGTCTGAATTAAAAATCTTATTTTTATTTTGCATCCCTTTGTATATGAGAATGGTTAAAGCTTTTAATAATATAATACCAAAAAAGTAAAGAAGAAGAAAAACTAAAACAACAATACTGTTAACTTTTCAAAAAAAAACAAACAAACCAACAAACGAAAATCCTTCATGACATTAAATCATTTTCTAAAGTATTTTATCTTGTGATTCACCATATGAGGATGAAGTCATGTCATATAGATAAGCATAGGAATGAAATTTGGTTAGTTGTCCTGTAATTTATATATTGCTTGATAGCTTAAGGACACTTACACTTAAATCTATTTATACAATTTAAAATATAATAAAAATAAAATTAAAATCAAACAAAAATAAAAATAAATAAGCAAATCCTAATTTGCTTATTTAATATAGACTTACGTCAATGTATTTATAAACTGAATTATATGATAAATCTCTTGCAAGCTATAAATCACCCTTTGACTAATGTTTTCTATTTTTCTGTCATACACTTTCCAAACAAGGCATAATGTTTATAGTAGTAGGATATATGAGTCAATAAATAGCTTTTGAAGGCGGTGGAATGCCAAAACAAAGCAGAGGTATTTGATAACCACCAAAGCATTTGTTTGTAGTATATGTCAATATGATGGATATTATTCTCAGTAGCCTAAATTTTTACTCAATAAAGAAATCAAAAATTTAATGTAATAGATTTCAAACTCTGACTAATGTTTTGAATTAGCTTGATATTTTGTCATTGAATAAAATAAAGTGTATTATAGCAAAACTCAGTGTAAAGGTATTTTCTATTACAGGACTGTAAATTAGGGAATTGATTGTTTATGTAAACTTAATCATAGAAACTTTTTTATTTTAATAAATGTACTTACACACTATTCGTTATTACATAGGAGCATAACTTTTCCTTTTGACTTCTATTGCCACATTTTGAAATGTTAGCTGTGAACATTTGGACAACAATGCCTGCCTTAAAGATGGGTTAATATTATTTCTTGTTATAAATCAGCAAATGCATAGAAATACCATTAGACAGTACATACTGAGACACCAAAATGAGTTGTTTCTTAGTGTACTGAGGGAGATAAGTAGTAAATACAAAATAATAATTTTCAAAAGTTCATTAAATTCTCATTTTTGTAATTTTACTTTAAATTTTGTGATGAAATTTTTAAAATCTTATAGATTTATAAAATTAAATTTATATATTTATAAAATAAATCTATCAATAAAGTTTTATTTGTGTATTTTTTGTTTTACTTCAGTAGTAACATATTTATTTTATATTTATACATTTAATGTATGTACACACATAAATTCATAGGTAAAGTGGTACATTAGTGGGGTCTTTTTCACAGCCAAAGTGAAGCATGATCAAAATTTATTATTCCAGGAACAGTACATATATTTTAAATAATATGCAGGCAATACTTACAGCAGCCTTAAAAATAAGTTGAAAACAAAAAATAATAATACACATACCTCTGTGCATAGTGAATCTTAGAGAAAGAAAACACAGAATATTTTAATGTGATGTATCACGTGCCAAGTAGAAAATGTAAATAAATACAATTTTGTTGAACAGAAACTCAATTTTCTCTTGTGTAGGTATGTAGCACAATGTACAATGGTATAAAATACATACAAACAGAAATGAAAGATTTAAAAGTAATAGCAACAGAATTCAACAACATAATTAGAATATCTTATGGCAATACTATTGGTAAATAATTCAGGCTGTATTTAAGAATGTGGTAAGAATTAATTGATAAAACAGCTATATTTGTGTTTCCATTTTACAGGTGTGAAAACTACGTTACAGTAATGTTGAATTCCTTTCTCAGAATAAAGGGATTTGAATTTTTAGGCTGTCAATTTTTTATCTCAAAATATTATGTTATATTTACTTCCAGTGTGCATGCGTGCGTGTGTGCGTGTGTGTGTGTGTGTTTGCTTAAATTCCTTAGTTTTAGAATCTTGTGTTAACCCAATTCAAGAGTGAAAATGGAAACATCTGAACTTGGATGCCGTTAGCTCATTTAACTGATCATTCATTCTTCTACTAGCATACTGTCTTTCTTGTAGTTGGAAGGGAATATTTATTAATTAATTATTTGATTATACTTATGTCTCAAAGTTAAAAGTCCAGTAATCAAAACTAACAAATGTAAAGAGAACACTCATACACTTCTATTCAAAGATAATTTAAATAATAATATTAAAGTACATAAAAAGTACATCAATATTAGAAGTCACAATATGTTGATACTCAATTAACAAAGAAGACAATATTGTAGTATTATATTAATCACTGCTATTTGGGATGTATATTCTCCATATCTACCTTTGTGCTTCATGATTTTCAAAGAGGAATATAAGGCAAACTGTTTTCTTTCTTCTTTTGCTTTTCTTTTCTTGCTTGCTTTTATTTTATTAGTTTGTTTGTTTATTTATTTATTTATTTATTTATTTATTTATTTATTTTTGCATTATAAAGACACCACTCTCACCCACTGGAGTGACAGAGAAGGAGGATGCAAACAGCTCTAGCTATTTTGTTTTGACATTGTCTACTGTTGGGTGGTCTGTTTCTTAGGCTTTATTTTTTTGTACAAACCCTCTGGACTGGAATGTTAGTTCACATTGGATTACAATATGATGGGTCAGGTAAGAAACAGCTATCTAAAGCATTTATAGCTACAAACATTAAAAGGGCAGCTTCATCAATTAGATTCCCACAGAAAATCAGTGTTTGTTTCAATTAATTAATTAATTCTTTTTTTAAAAAGAATTAATCTTCCACTTTAGAGACAGCAATGTATCTAACATTTTTTACACTATTCAAAAAAAACCGTTTTAAAGAAAATTTTGTTTAAAGCTAAAGGAAAATGAAAAGATTGAATAGAATTGATACTATCAAGCAGTATTATGTAAGAATGCTTTGAACTATTTTATAATATTGCCCTTCTTATTCTATGCTATGAGTGAACTACAAAATTGTTGTTTGGCCAGGTACAGTGGCTCACCCTGTAATCCTAGCACTCTGGAAGGCCGAGGCAGAAGAATCACTTGAGCCCAGGAGTTCGAGACCAGCTTGGGCAACATGACGAAAACCTAACTCTACAAAAATTACAAAAACTAGCCAGGTGTGGTGGAATGTGCTTGTAGTCCCAGCCACCAGGGAGGCTGAGGTGAGAGGATCACTTGAGCCAGGGAGGTAGAGGCTGCAGTGAGCTCTGATCATGTCACTGAACTCTAGCCTGGGTGACAAAGTGAGATCCTGTCTCAAAAATAACAAAACAAAATAATTGCTTCCCATAGATCATTCTGATTTTGTGGGGAAAATTCAAAAAGTCAAATAATTGTGCCACTTGCTAATCTTGTTCAAGTCCATTTAATTATACAAATATCTGTATTCTTATCTGAAAAAGGAGAAAGTTAGTATCTAGTCTGTGTACATTACAGAAGTGCATTGAGCTTCAGATAAAACCAGGACTTTGTAAGAACTTCGTAATATTTAAACCATTTTGTAAATATAAGAAAGAACAATATTATAATTGAGGATTTACTAGGTAACAGAAATTGTGTAGGACCCTGCTTACTTGTTACTATTGGCCAGGCACGCACTGTGTTAGTTAAACATCATATTTTATTTTGATATCATAGAAACAAACTATTTGAGATTATATTGATCTGAGTTCAGTTCTAGTTATGACCAACTGAGTCATCTTTAGCATTTATATGTGAAAGCTATGCTTTTTTCCTCTATAGAATGAAGGTAATAATGTTACCTGTCTTATAACTTTGTAAGTAAAATTGATTATTGCTCTAATGTATATGTCACGTTTATGTCTTACAGCCTTGAAATTTGAAAATTTAAGCCCTTCAGTTAGATTCAAATAGATTCAAAATAAATTATTTAAAAATATATAGTTGGGATATATGTTATGATGAAACAGCCCTGGTTGAAGATGCCGCTTCTGATGTCTGTGAGGTCTATGTGGTCCCTCCCAGCCACAGCAGCCATTAACAAGGTTCTGCATAACCCTTAGAGCCTTGGGGTTGGAACAGAGTGACAGCCACTATATTATATTACAAAACAAAATAATTGTTTCCCATAAATCAGTCTGATTTGTGGGGAAAATTCAAAAAGTCAAATAATTGTGCCACTTGCTAATCATGTTCAAGTCCATTTAATTATACAAATATCTGTATTCTTATCTGAAAAATGAGAATTATATAATGTCATGCAATGAATAAGCCAAAGAATACTACACTGAATAAAGTTCTCCTAATATCCATAATTTTTGAAACTACTGCCATAATGTAAAACAAAAACAAAAACACCTTCCTAAGGCAGCATTAGAAAGCTTCATCAGCCACATTCGATTTAGATGAAAACATGATACCATCCCTGGTTATCCCTGAGTTTCTTCTATGCAGTGAAAAGAGACAGGATGGAGAACACAGCACCATGTATTTTTGCTGTAAAAATGCTTATTTTGTCTCTCAAAATAAATTTGAATTTGGAGGTCAAAACTCATGACAGATGAATAAAGAGAGAGAGAGGTAGAGAGATACTACATGATGTTTATCACAGGTTAGTCACCATTATAAATAATGTTCCAATAAACTAATTTTACCAAAATAGGTTTAGTGGAAAGGTAAGTAGAATAAGTAGAAAACGGACTGCTGACAATTGAGGTGTAAATATATTCTGGGAAAATCAGGACAGTGACCACAGACTTTTCTTGCTGATAGTTTGACTGCAACAGGAAAGAGTAGGAAATTGAAGGAAAAATATTTAAGGTGTTTTTTTTTTCCTATTTTTGTCTTAATGGAAAAACATTGGAGCCTGTTTATTTCAATGCAAAGAAACAAACATGAGTTACCAAGTAGCTTCCAAGAGGAGATTAAAAGAGTCTGGGATAAAATAAAACCAAGGAAATGACTTAGACTTCAGAGAGGCAACTTTTGTCCATCTCAAGGAAAATAGAAAATATCCATGAGTTCAAGGGTAGATGAATTCATAAATGAGAGGTATATGAAATTCAGCAAGTTGGTGTCTGTTTTCATTTTATATACTATGGATAATGTGGATAAAATGATATACAAAAGACTTGAGAGCATAGTGAAAGTCTGTAGTCACCACCAAAGGGACTAATGAAGACTGATTCATGACCTGTAATCAAATTGCCAAGTAGTGTTGAACTAACAGCAGATATTGGAAATCATGAATTTCTAATGACTCTAGCATTTTTGTTGTGTAGTCTTTTTCTTTGGCATCTCTTAGAAGTGTAGGTATGGGAACAGAACAAGTAATTATAACAATGGGATTGATTTATTAGTAGCAATTTGCTATGTGGGTCCAGGAAAAGGCAAAATGAGCATGGTAGTTGAACATGCAGAAAGAGAATATGTAAACACTGGAGAATTTGGTGAAGAAAGAAAGGAAGAGAAGTCAGGAAAGGACTAATTTGGAAAACAGATAACATAATAATAAAATAATGATGATATGAATAGTATGATTAATGTGAATAGGTAAGAATCATTTGATAATTACTGTGTGCTAGGAAATGTTCTTATTGGTCTTGTTGAATCCTCATAGCAAACATATAAAGCTGATATCATTATCTAACATTTTACAGAGTTAACTGAAGCACAAAGAATTAAGTAAACAGCCCATGAGCACTCAGAGAGCAAGTGATTAAAACAAGCTAAAGCAAATGAATGTCAAAATGTCTTTGAAAATATGGTGAACTGAAAGTCAATGAATAAAAAAATCAAAAGATATGATGTTAAGTGTCAGGTGGAATATTAAAGTCTAAAACTTTGAGAGCAGAGAATTTCAGTTGATAAGATACATACATACTCAAGGAATTGTGTTGGTAAAATAGAAAGCATTAATTATTCAGATGCATAACAATTGTTTTGAACCCTAAAATTAAAAAACAATTTATGGTAACTGCTGATAAGAGGATGTAAAAAAAAAATCTGTCTCCTCTTTCTTATTCTCTCAGCTCAAGCCAGGTATCTGAGGGGTTTTTCCTCAATTTGTCTGTTTGTTTGTTTTTTTCTAATGGCTCTCTTTAAAACAAATTTTATCAGGTAAACATCATCTGCATTTGGCCTCATCATAAGGAATGTGTAGGGGGGCATTCTTATTTAAGTCTAATAAGATAAAAAGATAACATTGGCAGTATCAAGAAATCATGAGTGGTAGGTGGAAGAAAGTTCATTTTAGAATTATGTTTCTTGGACTAATAGTTGGCATTCACATGTAAAAAGAAGAACCACTTATTAAAGTCTTCAGAGCCCAAGAAAATGGTCAGTAGGTGGATGGTAATCAAGAAGTGTGGTGATTGGTAAATAAGATAACAAGGGATGGAAGCAGAATACCTTGAAATCAATAGTGGGAGTAGTCTGAAAACCATCTATTTGTAGCCACGCTTTTATTATATGGTGCCAATACACTACACAGCCCAAGGGAAGCAGTGCCCACACAGAAGAGCCTGAATTTGGTTAAGGCAAGGGAGTAGTGAAAATATTCTTCCAAAAAACAAAAAAGTAAGAGAACATTATTTAATGATTGAATGTGGTATTTTCATAGTACCTAGGGAAAGTGGGGATGCACTTAAAAATGTGAGATAAAAGTTGACTAGAGAAACAGTTAGAGAATCTCACCCAAATACAGATCTGATCATCTGTATATTTATGTGATCCTTCTCTAGGAATGTTTCCTGTTCAGTAGAAATGAGGAAGCAGGTAAGTAGGAAAAATAACTACATTTTTTGAAGATGACCAAGCATGACAGAAATCAAAATTATAAAATTAATCAGTCCAATGTTTTTTGCTTTTAAAAAATTGTACAATGTCCTTTTTTCAGTGAAATCAATGAAGGCTCTGAGTATTGTATTATGTCTGATTGTTCAAAGCATTCTCATACCTGTAGGAATGCTGAAAATCAAGTCAAGAAACCAGGTCCTGGTAAATACTAACCATTACCCTAGAGCAATAAGTGGAGATTTGAAACATACCCAACACTGGTACAAAAGTCGCTAACTTTTGCACTACATTTTTCATGCACTCTTAAAAATGCACTGTAGTTTGTTATTAAACATGAAAGTAATGACCAAATCTGTACTTTACATTTGTGAGGATAGATTTAGAGTAATTTACCAAGACTCAATCATGGATGCAAATCTGCAGTCTGTGATATGCATAAATGACATAGTGAGCCATTTGTTAAACAAAAATCAACAATAGCTTCATTACCATCATGTGCTTAACACTTGGGTTATCCAGACACAGATTTCCTTTTATTTAATAAGTAAATTTATTATTTTATCGATATTTTCAAGGGTCATAAATAAAGATGAGATTTAATTATATGAGTAATACATCCTTGGACATCTAGCTTTTCTCCTGGCTATAAAAGACTGGTGAAATACTGGGCACAAGGTCACCCCTGAGTTGTAATACTATTTATTTGACTTGTCAACTATGTGATTATAGGCTCCTGCACTCACCTAAGCTATGAGGCAATATTAGTACCTATTCTATAATAGGTATCATAATAAAGTGATAAATATAAATTGTAAAGCATCATATCTGGTACATGGGAGGCTCACAATTAATGCTATTTGATATCATTATTAATGTTATTTTCCTAATTTATTCTGGGTGTGGCTAGAGAAATCCCAGCAAAATATAAGCCATGTCACAAGCCCCCTTACGAACTCTACTTGACTTTGTGTATTGTTAGATGGACGTGGATGCCCAAGGAAGACACTCAATGGTTGAAAAATTCACCAGACCTCAGAAAGAGCAATAAGATCTGTACTTCAGAATACAGTGAAGGGGAACTTTGGAAGCTGTTTACATATGATATCATGGAGTATCACAGTATTTTTTTCTGTATTAAAAATGGTGTATAGGTCTTTTTGATTATGTTATTTAAAAAAATGGAAAGGCCTTATTGTTAGCAGAAGACATGAAAATTGGGCTGGGCACAGTGACTAATGACTGTAATCCCAGCACTTTGGGAGGCCAAGGCAGGTGGATCACATGAGGTCAGGAGTTGGAGACCAGCCTGGCCAACATGGTGAAACCCCGTTTTTACTAAAAATAGAAAAATCACCTGGGCATGGTTGTGGGTGCCTGTAATCCCAGCTACACGGGAGGCTGAGGCAGGAGAATCACTCGAACCCAGGAGGCGGAGGTTGCAGTGAGCCAAGATCCCAAGATCGCACCACTGCACTCCAGCCTGGGCGACAAGAGCGAAACTCTGTCTCAAAAAAAAAAAAAAAAAAAAAGAAAAAAGAAAAAAATTGATCTTCTGTTTGTTCTTACAGTATGCTACAATACAATAATGAATGGTTAGAGTTAACTTCAGTAAATGCAGAATTCGACCTAGAGAAAAGATTTTTTCATGGTAGGTAATAAACTCATCATTGTGAGAGGTTATAAAGTAAAATAATATGATGCAGATTTAAAAGCAGCTGCTTAATTAATTACTCAACACAAGCCATGTAATTGCAACCTGAGGCAATTTCATAAAGGGTAAAATTTTTAAAACTGGATATTAATTGTTCTACACAATACTATATTCAAAATTTTTGATAAAACCATTAGTGTTGTATAATGACTACAGGAATGTGGAAATATTTACGTAGACTATTACAATGAGTCTAGTTCGCCTTCTTTGATTATTAGAGAAGGTTAGAAATATTCCCTCTACAAAAGAGATATTTACCCTTTCTTTTATTATTCTCTTCCAGATTACCCTCTCATTAATATCTTTAGTGGATTATAAGACAGAATGACTGTTAAAACTATTTCCAAACACATGTGTAATTAAACAGCAATAAGGGATTTGTAGGAGAGACTTGCAAAGAAATCTGAAGAGATTTTTAGAATACAGGCTGTTTAGATCCAGAACATTGGCTTTAGGAAATTCCCTCTTGTTGAGTTCTTCACAATATATATATTTTAAAATGTATTACCATAGTCTAAATACTTTTTGAGTTGTTGGTGATATGGCTAAGAACAAGACAGAGTTGTTGATCTCTATATAGTTTCCTTTCTAGTGTGCAAGATAGAAAACAAATCAACACATAATAATTTCAAAGGTACATTTTAGCATCTGATAATTACCAGTCTGATATAGAGAGGTACTTCTAGATAGACATGTTAATATAACTTTCATTTGAGAATAGAGCATTTTTCAAATATGGGTAAGAAAGCAGTAAATATCCCATCAGTGAATCATATTACACCCATTATATGATAGCTACCTTAGATTTCATGATCATTTGCTATTTTATGATTAGACATTCTATTCGTCTAATAGACGAATAGAATAGCAACCCAAAGCAAACTAGGCATTATTTACCAAAAAGAAAATCATTATTTAGTGAAAGAGAACTTGATCATTTGTCCTAAAACCTAGGAGTTCCTCTTGTGTTTCTCCCATCAAAGTGTGCCACAAGATTTGTAATGCATCCTGACCTGGAATGCATACTTCCAGCAAAAATTGAATATATTTAGCTAAAAGGGTCAAAGGACATGGATGCTAGTAATGCAGTCTGAACAACTGTTGGCCTTTGTCTTGCCAAGGACCCAGCTTGAAACAGGCAGAGTTTAATGTTAGTTGGAAAAGTCCCAGAAATATACCAAACATCTCATATTTTGCATTCAAAAATTGATGTAAAATCTACAAAAAAGGCATGCCTGTCTCAGAGATGTAGTGGATATAAAATATATTGACATGTCTTTCATATGATTTTTATCAACGCATTTAAAGTACCTAAGATTTGCTATACAGAGCCTGTCAGTATATCTTTAAATTTCTCCAGATTTGAATCTCATGTTATACCTCTCAATATATCTATTAGTCATGATGTCTTTTATCAGGGTAAAATAATTAGCTTATATGCAGACTAAAATTGAACTATAAAATCATATAATTTAGTTAAATGATCTAGAACAGCAGTTGAAATTGAAATTACCAATTAAACAATAAGAAGCCTATACCAGGACTAAGACAAGCTTCACCTAGAACTTTTACCTCCATTATCAGATCTGAGCAGGAGGATTAAAAAATTCTTTTCAAGTCACTTCTGCCTCTGTCAATAAATAGGGGGAGTGTTAGAAATCATTCTTTCTACCTACTAGAACACTTCCCGGCACAACAATCAGCCTTGAATCTAATGAGGCTAATTAGGCCCTTTAACCCACTTATGTTAGTCATCACAGGAAGGCCCAGAATCCCAAATCATCTGTCATCTTCTGCAAACTAATGTTTATATGGCTATTTACATTCTTATTTAATAACGCTTCCTCAATTCCTAAAATCCTTCAACCACTCTTCGACTTCTGAAACATGTCAAGTAGAACCCTATTTAATACCACTATTTCCTTCCCCATCTCCTAAAACTCTGGAAATTATTCATACATCATCATCATCAAACTCTTCCCTAAGTATTTTCTATACCTTCTTGTTCTAAAGAAAATCTAATTTTTCCCTCAGGACTCTGATTTCTCTTCAGGGACCCACAAATCTCAGGTCTCCACCTGTCTATAGGTATGGTATGTGTCCTCCTTAATTCTTGCTGATGATTTCATACAACTCTCCTTCTTTTATCCCTAAAGCTCCAAGTTTTAAATGTCATGACATCAAATTAGATCATTAAACAAATTTTATTATTGGTCATATATATATATATATATATACACACACACACACATATGACAGCAATTATATATATATATATATATATATACACTTAGTATGTTAGTTATTTATCAATGATTTTATCACCTGCTCACATACTATATTCTATATGATTTCTGTTAAATTTTTTTGTTATTTCAAAATATACAGTCTTTCCAAAGGCCCTGGCTTCTCATGCCTTTGCACTTCTTTCCCCTACTGAACTCATTTTTCTCTCTGTCTCAGTTGCTCATAGAAATATCTTATACTATGCTATCATCAAGAACTGAAAACACTTCATAATCTAATTTCCAAGTCTCCCAGATTCTGAGCACCAAAGAACAGCGCACTTTCTCTATAACTCAAAAAAATCCTTTGACATTAGATGACTCCAATCCATGGATCCTTTTCTATTTGATGCCCTTTCCCCCATTTTTAACAAACTAAAATTGTATGGTCCTATCAGCTGAACTTTATCAACTCCTAAATTTATATGTTGAAGCCCAAATCCCCAATACTTCAGAATTTGATTGTATTTGGAGATGGGACTTTCAAAGAAGTAATCAAGAAATTGTTAAGCAATAGGAACTTCAACATCTGAAAAATTCTCAGCCTACCCATATTTCAAAAAATGATAAAGTTTGTTCTGGAGAGAACACCAAGGATATAAGTGTACAATCAATCACTCAGTAGATTACAGATGTGACTCATGGATCTGTTCAGTCACTTCAGCAGAATCCAGGAAAAGAGTTGGGGTTATACAAGCATAAATACTTGCCAGCCTAGACAAAAAGAGACCAAAAGGGACAAAATGTAGCAAGAGTATCAGACTTCTGGGATCCTACAGGATGGGACAATAGAGCTATCTGGCTGTGAATATGCCTTATCCTTTAAGAAATGAGAAGAATTAACCCCAGAGGTAATTTAGAGATTATGAGGGCTGCTAATTCTACCCTTGATTTAGAGAGCAGCGGCTTAAGGGGGTGAGGTTGACCCCTTCTTAGTTTCAGTGACCCAGGCTACCCTTGTCCTGGGCTGCAGGCATGGGGCTGCTACCCTGGCAGGCCTAAAGGACAGAGTGTTGGGTTAAAGAGGATTATTTTCAAACCTTAAAATCGAATGGAATTTGCCCTGCTAGGATTTGAACTTGCTTGAGACATAGGACTTATTTCTTCTTTCCAATCTCTCACTTTTGAAATGAGAATGTCACTTCTATATCCGTCCCACCATTATAGTTTGAAAGCAGAAAACTTGTTCAGTTTCACAAGTTCACACCTGGAGAAGAATTTTGCCTCAGGATGAATCATAACTTGAGTCTCATCCACACTTGATTTAAATTAGATTTTTGGGACTTAGAATGAGTGCTGGAATTGCTGAAGACTTTTGAACTATTGGGATAGGAGTGAATGCATTTTGTATGTGAGACTTTTGGGGGCTCAAAATGGTGAGTGCTATGGGCTAAATTGTGTCTCCCTTCCAATTCATATATTGAAGCCCTAACCCCCAGAACTTCAGAATGTGACTGCATTCGGAGATAAGGCCTTTAAAAAGGCAATATGATCAAATTAATTCCGTTTGACTTGTGTCCATGTAAAAGGAAATTTGGACACACAAGAGACACCAGGGATGCATGTGCACAAGGAAAAACTATGTTAGAACACAACGAGAGGGTGGCTATCTGCAAGTCACGAAGAAAGGCCTCAGGAGAAGTCACACAGGTGACACCTTGGTCTTGGATTTACAGCCTCCAGAAATATGAGAAAAGAAGATGTTCTGTGGTTTAAACCACTCAGTCTCTGTCATTTTTTTATGGCAGTCTTATCAAAAATAATTGACCTATGTCAATTTATTAAAATGTCTTTCTTTCACGCACTTTCTTCTCTCTTTCCTCCTCATATTTTATCATATTTGCTTTGCAGAACCACAACTCTGTAAAATTCAATGCCTGTCTATTCTACACATATAACATACATCTGGGTATATCTGGAGGAAAAAAAATCATACAAAACCATATTGACTGGTCTTGCTTTGAAACCAAAACCACAGATATCAACTGAGCCCTTAATTGCATTGCAATTATACCATAATTCCCTAATGCATTGACTTTTACACTTGGTTAAGAGATTATTTTACATGTTTTTTTCTTATCTCAAAGTTCTAACACTTAAATATCCTTATTCTGATTAAGATGTTTTTTCTTCCTTTATTGAAAATTTTGAAGCAATCAAAACAATTTCCACCATTATCCATCCCTTTATCTCCTCATCTATCAGAATCTATACTCAAATGTGCAGATTTCCCATCTGTTATAAATGATTTCTGCTCATGTCAGAATATAATTCTTCCGCTTAAAAAATAAAATTATATGTTCATTATAGCTTTGTTTTTAATAGGCTCTAATTTTTTAGAACAGATTTTGATTTACAGAAAAAAATGTGTAGAAATTACAGAGTTCTTATATACCCACTATTCACCTCCTCACAATTCTTGCTAACATCTGGAATTAGTATGGTACATTTATTACACTTGATGAAACAATATTGATACGTTGTTATTAAAGCCAATAGTTTAAATTAGAGTTCACCTTTTGAGTTATACAGTTCTGAGTGTAAACAAATGCATAATATTCTGTATGTGCATTACAGTGTCATACATAATGTCTTAGTTGCTTCCAACTATTGGCAATTATGAGTAAAACTGTTATAAACATTCATGTGTAAGTTTTTGTGTTCACATAAGTTTTCACTTCACTTGGGTAAATATCTAGGAGCAAGATTCCTAGATCTTATATTAAGCCTATGCTGAGCTTTGTAGAAACTGCCAGATTATCATTCAAAGTGGCTGTTCCTGCCAGCAAAGAATTAATGTTCCTGATGTTTCCAATCCCAATCAGCATTTGATGTTGTTAAAGTTTTGGATTTTAGCAATTCTAATAGTTGTGTCATGGGATCTTGTTTTAATTTCCAATTCTTCAATGATACATGTTGAACATCTTTTTATATGCTTAATTGCCATCTACATATCTTCTTTGGTGAGATGTCTGTTCACATCTTAATCTTTGTACTTTTAAATTAACTCTTACTTGCTTTTTCTACTCATAAAACATTATCTCTGTAATTCATAATTTCTTTATTTTATTTTTTATTTGCTCTGTATACAATTATCTCTCTCATAAAAGAGTAATATTAATTTTTCATGCTAAAAAAATTTATCTTTTTTTACATACACCGGTAGATGCCCCATTTTTTGTTCCCCTTTGCATCTCCCTTTTGCCTATCCCCTCATTTTCTCCAAATTTATAACAATCAATCTTTTGCCCCACTATTTCAGTATAAATACTATTTAGAACTCTATGTGCTATATCAAATGGCTGGTTCCAAATAGTTTTCATTTAGTATATCAAAATCATTTTACAGAACCTACTATTTCCTGTCTTGAAAAATTTTCTTCACCTGGCTTTCAATAAATGTGATAAATGCAGTTCTACCTCATTAGTTGTTCCTTCTGAACCTCCTTTGTAATTTTTTCTCTCCCTTATCTTAATGTTGTAATGCACCATGACTCAGTCCTTGATCACCATTTTTTCTTCATGTACATTTCATTCTTTGGTGAGTGCATCTAATCTCACGATATTGATTACTATCTATTTGCTGATGACTCCTAAATTTATATTTCTCGTCAGATTTCCCTCTTTCTTAAATTCCACATTCATAAATCCAACTGCCAGTTGAATATCATTTCATGAATTTTAATATGCATTTCAAAATTAGCAAGTCCATCATTGATTACCTGGTCTTTCTTCTGTAGTCTGCCCACCACAGTCTTCATATTATAAGTAGAAAATACATTCAACTTCCCAGTTGTTAACAGTAAAGACCTTGGATTTATTACTTATCATCCAAACAGAACTTTGGTTACTAGAGGGTGCATCATAAATAATTAAATTATATATATATAATTATATATAGATATTATATGTAATTATATACATTATATATAATTATATATAAATATTATACATAATATATAAATAATATATATTATAAATAATATATTATCATATATTTATAAATATTATATCTAGTATTATTTATATATTATACTATATTATATATAGCCAGATAGCTATTTAATGTTTATATACTAAAATTATTTATCATTTTGATGAATCTATAAAACAATTATATTACAAACATTTTAAAAATAAATGTTTTTCAATAAAAAAATAATAGATCTAAAAACATCACTTGAGGAAATCATCTTTAAAAAAATATCAGCCAGGCGTGGTGGCTCACGCTTGTAATCCCAGCAGTTTGGGAGTCCGAGGTGGGTGTATCACCTGAGGTCAGGAGTTTGAGACCCGCCTGGCCAACATGAAGAAACCGGGCCTCTACTAAAAATACAAAAATTAGCCAGGCGTGGTGGCAGGCACCTGTAATCCCAGCTACTTGGGAGGCTGAGGCAGGAGAATCACTTGAACCCAGGAGGCTGATGTTGCAGTGAGCCAAGATTGTGCCACTGCATTCCAGCCTGGGCAACAGAGAAAGGGTCCATCTCAAAAATAATAATAATAATAATAATAATAATAATAATAAAGAGAAACAAAAGAAAAATGACATAGACATAATTGCTCTTTCAGCTTGGATTTATAGTGCCATATCTTGGCTCTGCACCATGATTTTATCTTCAGGCTCACATATCCCACTCCCTCCTAAATATCCCTGCAATCATAGTTACCAGGTTGCCACATATGAAGAGGAACATCTACATCTGAAGATTGCCTTCTCTTTCAGTATTCCCCGGATATCCTGGACTTCACCCGGATGCAGGGACACGATAAGAATTTGCATTGTCTTCCATTGGGTGGAGGTGTTTTTCAAGGTGAATAAAGAATAAATTGTATGTTTGGAAATCAGAAGAGTAGCTGTGTAAACCACTAGCTACTTAAACCCATTTGCTACTAAAATTCAGTGATGAAAAAAATTCTGATTTTATACACAAAATGCTAATCTATGATGTTACAACTCAGGTAGTGCTTCCCTTGTGGGGAAGTTTCTGACTGGTAATTACCCAATTAAGACTTCTGTGTTGCTAACAGCATTTGGCTTCTTGATATATGTGCTAGTCACTTAGTCATAATCAGTTTGTTTAAATTCACTAAGCTATAACTCTTATGATTTGTACATTTTGTGTGTATATATATATATATATATATATATATATATAGCAACTATATTTATTTTAAATGTTAGAAGTATTAGCTTTGTGCATTGAGAAGGCTTAGGAAAACATTAAAAAGGAGCAATAATCACCCTAGCTCTCAGGTTGTGGCCTATAGAAACAACATTCTACTATATGAAATCAAGGTTCCTTAGAGAAATGGCTGATTTTAGATCTACATCATAATATGTACCAGATAAACATGAAAAAAAAGTCGTTGTATTAGATAGCAGGGAAACCAAAAAAAAAAAAAAAAAACTCCTAGAGTCACGTCAAAAGTTCAAGAAGTCAACTTGAAGAGGCTCCCACTGATCAAAGATAGTACTACTGGAGCATCAAAAAAGAGTAAGTGTCATGGATCAAATACATTAAATATGTTTAACAGTTTTAGTCGTAATAATTCTAAAAGCAACATCAACCAATTGGTCAATGTTGGAGGATTCAAGAAAAATAGCTAATTGTTTTTAAAATTTGTAAATAAAAAGGCCAGGCGTGGTGGCTTACGCCTGTAATCCCAGCACTTTTGGAGGCCGAGGCAGGTGGATCACCTGAGGCCAGGAGTTCGAGACCAGCCTGGCCAACATGGCAAGACCTTGGCGCTACTAAAAATGCAAAAATTAGTTGGGCATGGTGGTGCGTGCCTATAATCCCAGCTACTCAGAGACTGAAGCAGGAGAATTGCTTAAACCGGGACACGGGAGTCAGAGGTCGCAGTGAGGCGAGATCATGCCACTGCAGCACTCCAGCCTGGACTACAGAGCGAGACTCTGTCTCAGAAAAAAAAATTGTAAATAAAAAGATCTTTTCTTTTAAAGACTGTACACCTATATAGATTGATTGCTGGCAAGATGGCCAAATAGGAACAGCTCTGGTCTGCAGCTCCCAGTGAGAGCAACTCAGAAGGCAGGTGATTTCTGCATTTCCAACTGAGGTACCTGGTTCATCTCATTGGGACTGATTGGACAGTGGGTGCAGCCCAAGGAGGGGGATCCAAAGCAGGGTGGGGCATTGCCTCACCTGGAAGCCCAAGGGGTTGGGGAACTCCCTCGCCTATCCAAGGGAAGCCTTTAGGGACTGTACCATGCACTTCAGCCAAGGTACTGCGCTTTTCCCAATGTCTTCACAACCTGCAGACCAGGAGATTCACTCTGGTGCCCATGCCACCAGGGCCCTGGTTTCCAGCACAAAACTGGGTGGCCGTTTGGGCAGACACTGAGCTAGCCACAGGAGTTTTGTTTTGATTTGTTTTGTTTTGTTTCAATACCCCAGTGGCGCCCAAAACACCAGCAAGACAGAACCATTCACTCCCCTGGAAAGGGGGCTGAAGCCAGGGAGCCAAGTGGTCTGGCTCGGTAGGTCCCACCCCCATACAGCCCGGAAGCTAAAATCCACTGGCTTGAAATTCTCGCTGCTATCACAGCAGTCTGAGCTTGACCTGGGACGCTTGAGCTTGGCTCAACCTGGGACTCTTGAACTTGGTGAGGGGAGGGGCTTCCGCCATTGCTGAGGCTTGAGTAGGCAGTTCTACCCTCACAGTGTAAACAAAGCCGCCAGGAAGTTCGAACTGGTCAGAGCCCACTACAGCTCATCAAGGCCACTGCAGCCTGACTGCCTCTCCCGGTTCCCTCCTCTCTGGACAGGGCATCTCTGAAGAAAAGGCAGCAGCCCCAGTCAGGGACTGATAGATAAAATCCCCACCTCCCTGGGACAGAGCACCTGGGGGCGGGCGGTTGGGGGCCCAGCTTCAGCAGACTTAAACATCCCTGCCTAGAATCTCTGAAGAGAGCAGCGGATCTCCCAGCACAGTGTTCAAGCTCTGATAAGGGACAGACTGCCTCTTCAAGTGGGTCCCTAACCCCCATGTATCCTGACTGGGAGATATGCCCCAGTAGGGGCCAGCGGACACCTCATACAGGAGAGCTTTGGTTGGCATCTGGCAGGTGCCCCTCTGGGACAAAGATTCCAGAGGAAGGAACAGGCAGCAATCTTTGCTGTTCTGCACCCTCTGCCAGTGATACCCAGGCAAACAGAGTCTGGAGTGGACCTCCAGCAAACTCCAGAAGACCTGCAGCTGAGGGGCTTGACTGTTAGAAGGAAAACCAACATAAAGGAATAGCATCAACATCAACAAAAAGGACATCCACACAGAAACCCCATCCAAATGTTAGCAACATCAAAGACCAAAGGTAGATAAAGCCATGAAGATGAGGAAAAACCAGCGTAAAAATGCTGAAAATTCCAAAACCAGAATGCCTCTTCCCCTCCAAAGGATCACAACCCCTTGCCAGCAAGGGAAAAAAACTGGACAGAGAATGAGTTTGATGAATTGACAGAAGTAGGCTTCAGAAGGTAGGTAATAAAAAACTCCTCCGAGCTAAAGGAATATGTTGTAACCCAATGCAAGGAAGCTAAGAACATTGCAAAAAAGGTTAGACAAATTGCTAACTAGAATAACTGGTTTAGAGAGCAACATAAATGACCTGATGGAGCTGAAAAACACAGCACGAAAATGTTGTGAAGTACATAAAAGTATCAATACCCAAATTGATCAAGTAGAAGAAAGGATATCAGAGGTTGAAGATCATCTCAATGAAATAAAATGAGAAGAACGATTACAGAAAAAAGAGTGAAAGGAAATGAACAAAGCCTCCAAGAAATATGAGACTATGTGAAAAGATCAAATCTACATTTAATTGGTGTATCTGAAAGTGACAGGGAGAACGGAACCAAGTTGGAAAACACTCTTCAGAATGTTATTCAGAAGAACTTCCCCAATCTTTGCAAGGCAGGCCAACATTCAAATTCAGGAAATACAGAGAACACCACAAAGATACTCTTTGAAAAGAGCAACCCCAAGACACATAATCGTCAGATTCACCAAAGTTGAAATGAGGGAAAAAATATTAAGCGCAGCCAGAGAGAAAGGTTGGGATACCCACAAAGGGAAGCCCATCAGACTAACAGCAGTTCTGTCAGCAGAAAGCCTACAAGCCAGAGGAGAGTGGGGGCCAATATTCAACATTATTAAAGAAAAGAATTTTCAACCCAGAATTTCATATCCAGCCAAATTAAGCTTCATAAGCTATGGACAAAGAAAATCCTTTACAGACAAGCAAATGCTGAGAGATTTTGTCACCACCAAGCCTACCTTACAAGAGCTCCTGAAGGAAGCACTAAACATGGAAAGGCTCAACCGGTACCAACCGTTGCAAAAACATACCAAATTGTAAAGACCATTGATGCTATGAAGAAACTGCATTAACTAACAGGCAAAATAACCAGCTAGCATCATAATGGCAGGATTAAATTCACACATAACAATATTAACCTTAAATGTAAATGGGCTAAATGTCCCAATTAAAAGACACAGACTGGCAAATTGGATAAAGAGTCAAGACCCATTGGTGTGCTCTCTTCAGGAGACCCATCTCACGTGCAAAGACACACATAGGCTCAAAATAAAGGGATGGAGGAATATTTACCAAGCAAATAGAAAGCAAAAAAAAAAAAAAAAGCAGGAGTTGTACTCCTAGTCTCTGATAAAACAGACTTTAAACTAACAGATCAAAAGAGACAAAGAAGGGCATTACATAATCCTAAAAGGATCAGTGAAACAAGAAGAGCTAACTATCCTAAATATATATGCACTGAATATAGGAGCACCCAGATTCAAGTACTTAGAGACCAACAAAAAGACATAGACTCTCACACAATACTAGTGGCAGACTTAATTGTCAATATTAGACAGATCAATGAGACAGAAAATTAACCAGGATATCCAGGGCTTGAACTCAGCTCTGGACCAAGTGGACCTAATAGACATCTACAGAACTCACCACTCCAAATCAACAGAATGTACATTCTTCTCAGCACCGCATTGCATTTATTATAAAATTGAGCACATAATTGGAAGTAAAGCACTCTTCAGCAAATGCAAAAGAATGGAAATAATAACAAACAGTCTCTCAGACCACAATGCAATCAAATTAGAACTCAGGATTAAGAAACACACTCAGTACCGCACAACCACATGGAAACAAAAAAACCTACTCCTGAATGACTACTGGGTAAATAATGAAATGAAGGCAGAAATAAAGATGTTCTTTGAAACCAATGAGAACAAAGAACCAATGTACCAAAATCTCCGGGACACATTTAAAGCAATGGGTAGAGGGAAATTTATAGCACTAAATGCCCACAAGAGAAAGCAGGAAAGATTTCAAATCAACACCCTAACATCACATTTTAAATAACTAGAGAAGCAAGAGCAAACAAATTCAAAAGCTAGCAGAAGGCAAGAAATAACTAAGATCAGAACAGAACTGAAGGGAATAGAGACACAAAAAACCCTTCAAAAATCAATGAATCCAGGAGCTGTTTTTTTGAAAAGATCAACAAAATAGACAGACCACTAGCAAGACTAATAATGAAGAAAAGAGAGAAGAATCAAATAGATGCAATAAAAAGCAATGAAGAGGATATCACCTCCAATCCCACAGAAATACAAACTACCGTCAGAGAATACTATAAACACCTCTACGCAAATAAACTAGAAAATCTGGAAGAAATGGATAAGTTGCTAGACACATACACCCTCCCAAGACTAAACCAGGAAGACGTTGCATCCCTAAGTAGACCAATAACAAGTTCTGAGATTGAGGCAGCAATTAATAGCCTACCAACCAAAGCAAGTCCAGGACCAGACAGAATCACAGCCAAATTCTACCAGAGGTACAAAGAGGAGCTGGTACCATTCCTTCTGAAGCTATTCCAAACGATAGAAAAAGAGAGATTCCTCCCTAACTCATTTTATGAGGTCAGCACCATCGTAATACCAAAACCTGGCAGAAACACAACAAAAAAAGAAAATTTCAGGCCAATAACCCTGATAAACATTGATGCAAAAATCCTCAATAAAATACTGGCAAACTGAATCCAGCAGAACATCAAAAAGCTTATCCACCACAATCAAGTCGGCTTCATCCTGGGGAGGCAAGACTGGTTCAACATATGCAAATCAATAAATGGAATCCATCACATAAAGAGAATCAATGACCAAAACCACATGATTATCTCAGTAGATGCAGAAAAGGCCTTCAACAAAATTCAACACTCCTTCATGCTAAAAACTCTCAATAAACTAGTATTGATAGAATGTATCTCAAAATAATAAGAGATATTTATGACAAACCCACAGCCAATATCATACTGAATGGGCAAAAGCTGGAAGCATTCCCTTTGAAAACCAGCACACAACAAGGATGCCCTCTCTCACCACTCCTATTGAACATAGTATTGGAAGTTCTGGCCAGAGCAATCAGGCAAGATAAAAAAGTAAATGGTATTCAATTAGGAAAAGAGGACGTCAAATTGTCTCTGTTGGCAGATGACATGATTGTATATTTAGAAAACCCCATTGTCTCAGCCCAAAATCTCCTTAAGCTGATAAGCAACTTCAGCAAAGTCTAAGGACACAAAACCAATGTATGAAAATCACAAGTATTCTTATACAACAACAGACAAACAGAGAGCCAAATCATGAGTGAATCCCCATTCACGATTGCTTCAAAGAGAATTAAAATACCTAGGAATCCAACTTACAAGGGATGTGAAGGACCTCTTCAAGGAGTACTACAAACCACTGCTCAACAAAATAAAAGAGGATACAAACAAAGGGAAGAACATTCCATGCTCACAGTTAGGAAGAATCAATATAGTGAAAATGGCCATACTGCCCAAGGTAATTTACAGATTCAGTGCCATCCTCATCAAACTACCAAAGACTTACTTCACAGAATTGGAAAAAAACTAATTTTAAGTTCATATGGAACCAAAAAAGAGCCCACATTGCCAAGAAAATCCTAAGCAAAAAGAGCAAAGCTGGAGACATCATGCTACCTGATTTCAAACTATATCACAAGGCCACAGTAACCAAAACAGCATGGTACTGGTACCAAAACAGAGATACGGACCAATGGAACAGAACAGAGGCCTCAGAAATAACACCAAACATCTACAACTATCTGATCTTTGACAAACGTGACAAAAACAAGAAATGGGGAAAGGATTCCCTATTTAATAAATGGTGCTGGGAAAACTGGCTAGCCATATGTAGAAAGCTGAAACTGGATCCCTTCCTTACACCTTATATAAAAATTAATTCAAGATGCATTAAAGAATTAAATGTTAGACCTAAAACCATAAACACCCTAGAAGAAAACCTAGGCAACACCATTCAGGAGGTAGGCATGAGCAAGGATTTTATGACTAAAACACCAAAAGCAATGGCAACAAAAGCCAAAATTGACAAATGGGATCTAATTAAACTAAAGAGCTTCTTCACAGCAAAAGAAACTACTATCAGAGTGAACAGGCAACCTACAAAATGGGAGAAAATTTTTGCAATCTACCCATCTAACAAAGAGCTAATATCCAGAATATACAAAGGACTTAAACAAATTTACAAGAAAAAATCAAACAACCCCATCAAAAAGTGGGCAAAGGATATGAACAAACACTTTTCAAAAGAAGACATTTATGCAGCCAACAGACACATGAAAAAATGCTTATCATCCTGGTCATCAGAGAAATGCAAATCAAAACCACAATGAGATACCATCTCACACCAGTTAGAATGGCGATCATTAAAAAGTCAGGAAACAACAGGTGCTGGAGAGGATGTGGAGAAATAGGAACAGTTTTACACTGTTGGTGGGAGCATAAACTAGTTTAACCATTGTGGAAGACAGTGTGGCGATTCCTCAAGGATCTAGAACTAGAAATACCATTTGACCCAGTGATCCCATTACTGGGTATATACCCAAAGGATTATAAATCATTCTACTATAAAGACACATGCACACGTATGTTTATTGTGACACTATTCACAATAGCAAAGACTTGGAACTAACCCAAATGTCCATAAATGATAGACTAGATTAAGAAAAGGTGGCACATATACACCATGGAATACTATGCAGCCATAAAAAAGGATGAGTTCGGCCAGGCGCAGTGGCTCACGCCTGTAATCCCAACACTTTGGGAGGTTGAGGCAGGAGGATCACAAGGTCAGGAGATCGAGACCATCCTGGCTAACATGGTGAAACCCCGTCTCTACTAAAAAAAAAAAAACAAAAAAATTAGCCAGGCATGGTGGCAGGTGCCTGTAGTCCCAGCTACTCGGGAGGCTGAGGCAGGAGAATGGCGTCAACCCAGGAGGAGCTTGCAGTGAGCTGAGATAGCGCCACTGCACTCCAGCCTGGGCAACAGAGCGAGACTCCATCTCAAAAAAACAAAAAGATGAGTTCATGTCCTTTGTAGGGACATGGATAAAGCTGAAAACCATCATTCTGAGCAAACTATTGCAAGGACAGGAAACCAAACACGGCATGTTCTTCCTTGCATGTGGGCATGTTCTTCCTTGCATGTGGGAATTGAACAATGAGAACACTTGGACAAAGGGTGGGAAACATTGCATACCGGGGCCTGCTGTGGGGTGGGGGGATGGGGGATGGATAGCATTAGGAGATATATCTAATGTAAATGACGAGTTAATGGGTGCAGCACACCAACATGACACATGTATACGTACGTAACAAACCTGCACGTTGTGCACATGTACCCTAGCTTAAAGTATAATTAAAAAAAAAATCAAAAGCATTCTTATACACCAATAACAGAGAAAATCATGAGTGAACTCCCATTCACAATTGCTACAAAGAGAATAAAGTACCTACGAATACAATTTACAAGGGGTGTGAAGGAACTGTTCAAGGAGAACTACAAACCACTGTTCAAGGAAATAAGAGAGGACACAAACACATGGAAAAAATTTCATGCTCATGGATAAGAACAATCAATATCGTGAAAATGGCCATACTGCTCAAAGTTATTTATAGATTCAATGCTATCCCAATCAAGCTAGCATTGACTTTTTCTTCATGGAATTGGAAAAAACTACTTGAATTTTCACATGGAATCAAAAAAGCACCCGCATATCTGAGACAATCCAAAGCAAAAAGAACAAAGCTGGAGGTATCATGCTACTTGACTTCAAATGATACTAAAAGGCAACAGTAACCAAAATAGCATGGTACTGGTACTAAAACAGACATATAGACCAATGCAACAGAACAGAGGCCTCAGAAATAATGCCAAAAATCTACAACCTTCTGATCTTTGACAAATCTGACAAAAACAAGAAATGGGGAATGGATACCCTATTTAATAAATGGTGTTGGGAAAACTGGCTAGCCATATGTAGAAAGCTGAAACTGGATCCCTTCCTTACACTTTATACAAAAAGTAACTCAAGATGGATTAAAGACTTAAATGTAAGACCTAACACCATAAACACCCTAGAAGGAAATCTAGGCAATACCATTCAGGACTTAGGCATGGGCCAAGACCATGAATAAAAGACCAAAAGCAATGGCAACAAAAGCCAAAATTGACAAATGGGATCTAATTAAACTAAAGAGCTTCTTCACAGCAAAAGAAACTATCATCAGAGGGATGAGGCAACCTACAGAATGGGAGAAAATTTTTGCCATCTATCCATGTGACAAAAGGCTAATATCCAGAATCTATAAAGAACTTAAACAAATTTACAAAATTAAAACAAACAAACCCATCAAAAAGTGGGCGAAGGATATGACCAGACAATTCTCGAAAGAAGACATTTATGCAGCCAACAAACATATGAAAGGAAGCTCATCATCACTGGTCACTGGAGAAATGCAAATCAAAGCCATAGTGAGATACCATTTCACGCCAGTTAGAATGGCGATCATTAAAAAGTCAGGAAACAGATGCTGGAGAGCATGTGGAGAAATAGGAATGCTTTTACACTGTTTGTGGGAGTTTAAATTAGTTCAACCATTGTGGAAGACAGTGTGGCGATTCCTCAAGGATCTAGAATTAGAAATACCATTTGACCCAGCAATCCCATTACTGGGTTTATACCCAAAGGATTATAAATCATTCTACTATAAAGACACATGCACACATACGTTTATTGCAGCACTGTTCTCAATAGCAAAGACTTGGAACCAACCCAAACGCCTATCAATGATAGACTGGATAAAGAAAATGTGGCACATATACACCATGGAATACTATGCAGCTATAAAAAAAATGAGTTCATGTCCTTTACTGGGACATGGATGGAGCTGGAAATCATCATTCTCAGCAAACTAACACAGGAATAGAAAACCAAACACCACATGTTCTCACTCATAAGTGGGGGTTGAACAATGAGAACACATGGACACAAGGAGGGGAACATCACACACGGGGGCCTGTTGGGGGGTGGGGGGCTAGGGGAGGGATAGCATTTGGAGAAATACCTAATGTAGATGACGGATTGATGGGTGCAGCAAACCATCATGGCACATGTATACCTATGTAACAAACCTGCACATTCTGCACATGTACTCCAGAACTTAAGGTATATTAAAAAAAAGAAACTGTATACCTATATAACCAGAATAAGAAATGGGGGCTGTATCTCATTACAAAAACACTTCGACTCATAAATGATAAAAAGGGATAGGATTAAAATAATATTTTCAATACCTAATAAAATAATGGATCTAGGCATTTAATATCAACTGCTAATATCACAGAATGAAGGAGAGCAAAAATCATAATAGAAATACACAACACCCTCTATCAAGGACTTTTGCCAAAAAGAATTGAACCTACACATCATCAAGTCCTTAGAAGCAAAGATCAATTTAACAAAAATAAAGACAAGGAAATAGTATGTTAAACTACATGATGTTAATTCAACCAAAATAAAAAATATATATATATGTGTGGGGCACTCCATCTGCTAATACTGCTTCTTACAATTAATATGGAGAATCTCATTTCTTTAATAAAGCATAAAATGCATGAAAAATATATTTTAATAAAGTATAAAAAATAAGAAAAGATAAAATGGGACTCATTAAATGTTTTAATGACTTAGTGAAAATGTGCTCAAAATCCCTAATCATCAGGGACATGCAAATCAAAACCACAATAAAATATCACCTCACACCTGTTAGAACAGCTATTATCAAAAAATAAGATAAAAGTTGTTGTTGAGGATGTGAAGAAGAGAGAGAAACCTTGTACACTATTGCTGAAAATGTAAATTGGTATATTAACAGTTACTGTAAAAAGTAGCATGCAGGTTCCTCAAAAAATTAAAAATAAAATTACCTGCAATCCCAATTCTGAGTATATATCCAAAGGAGTTGAAATCAAATCTCAAAAAGATATGTTCAATCCCATGTTCATTGCAGCATTATTTACAATAGCCAAGATATAGAAACAACTTAAATGTTTATCAGTGGATAAGTGGATAAAGAAAATGCGTTATATATACACAAAATAAAATAATGTTCAGCCTTAAAAAAAGAGGGAAATATTGCGTGCATCTATAGAACATAGGACAAATACTGCATAATCTCACTTGTATAAAAAATCTAAAACAGTTAAATTCATAAAATCAGATAGTGGAATACTGGTTACTAGGGACTGAGTGGAGGAGGAAATAGAAATATATATATTATTTATTTTTCTATGACTATATATTATTTTATATATTTTATAAATATAAAATTTTAAAACGTATAAAATATACCAATATATGGCTGAGTGTGAACAAAATATTCTGGAAGGATTTTGCTGTGGTTTGAATAATTATCCCCTCCAAAACTCATGTTAAAATTTGATTGCTGCTGTGGCAGTGTTAGGAGGTGGGACTTTGGGAAATAATAATAATGCCATGAAGACTCTGACCCCATGCGTAGGATTAGAACCATTACAAAAGAGCAAGTTTTGCTGTTTTTTGCCTTTTTGCATTTTTGTTTTTCTCCATGTGATGATGCACCAAAAAGTCTCAGCAGATGCCAACATCTTACTCTTGGACTTCACAACCTCCAGAACTGTGGGAATATAAATTTTTCTTCATTATAAATTACCCAATTTCAGTATTGTATTATAGCAGCAGAAAACATACTGAGACAGAAATATAAGAAACTGATAATAATGATGACCTCTGAGGACTAGAACTGTAAGTCTGTACTGTTGGGGAAAAAAGAGTAGATTTAAAATAAAATGTTTGGGTTATTATTATAATTTCCTTTGTTTTATTTTTGTTTGATAAGAGAAAAAATAAAAATCAATCTGTAATGTTGAAAGTACAATAATAAATATTTGTAGAGAATTTGTAGAAATTATAATATACATTGTATCTTCCAAAGTAAAACCAAAAAAAAGAGGGGAGAGAAAATCAGAGAAGAACATGAAATATTTGCCTTTGGGCATCTGAACAAAATGTAATTTTACTTTTATTCTTTTTTTCTGTGTATTCTAAATGTTCTAATAGGATTTTATATCAATTTTATATTATAAAAGAAACCTTTAAAACACCATTTTGTGATCTATCAACTCTTTAAAAAATTGTAAACCAATCCTTTCCTTAGCCTTTCCAATCCCAGCCTCCAATCCCAAGTCCATCTAATTCTCATTTATTTCATAGCACTTATTACCTTCTTCTCTACAAATTACTTATTTGTATAATATTGGCTTTTAATATGCCTTTGCTTTTTTTATTTCTATATCCCAGAAAACTGTTATTTGCATATTGGTGCTTAATGTATGGTGTTGAATTAATGAAAAATGCCTTGTCATTTTCCAGGACCTATTTGCCTTTTGAAAATGAAAATAAGTAATTCAAAATATAAGCTTTTGGAACTGTAAAATATTTTGAGCATTAAGGAAGTGTTACTATGGGAGCTGAATCACATAAACATGAAGCTATAACCTAGGAAGCTGTAACCTTTGTTTCTCTGATTATAGATTAGACTTTTTCCTTACCTACATTGTTTTGTAGAATGTTATACATGACTAAAATGTGACAGAGCAAGCCTCTTTCCTTTTAACTGTTGATGTTCTTTATAGATTAACTTCCCTTCTTCCTATCTCACACGAAGACTTCATGACTATAACACTGTCTGGGATGAAATGTTAAATATACTTTTTAGTTGGAATGGAAATTAAAATGATCTGTATGAAAAAGAAAACTAATTAAATTGTTACTCATAAAACAGCCTTGTCTAGAAAATGCTATAATTCTACTAAATTTCTTTGTTTCCTACCTATATAAGCAAGACTTTAACTTTTAACTTAGAAGCACTAACCCCATTTCTCTGGAGTCTGTATTTCCCGGATAGCTATTCTCAGCTTTTTGTTTGAATAAACTCTTTAAAACTGGATTCTGATTCTTTTCATTTTTTTTAGGTTGACATGAATTAAAAAAAAAATTAGTAAAATGGGTATGTGATAAGATCACCACTGCTTCATCCGTCAAGTCTTTGATGATGGGCGTTATTTCTGGTTGCTCCAGACGTGTTACTGCATTGAGTTTACTAAGTTGGGAGCAAAAGGAAGTTCTGAATTTGTTTTCTATCTACTCTACCTTAGAAACCCTCATTATAAAGGAATGGTAGCCAAACAGATGTCTTTAAACAACACTTCCAGGAATTGGAGAAATAACTGATGCTACTTGCCTTCGCTTCTCTATTTTGTTTGTTTTAATTAGTATTCCTGTTATTTAGTTTAATTGCTCTGCCCTGAACTCCAGTTACCTTCTTGGGTCTCTAAGCTCATGCTAGCATTTAAAAGGCACTTCCCCAAGCAGTCTGAGTTGCATTCCTTAAACTCTCCACAATTCTGAACAAGCTGTTTCCCCAGAAATAGCCTATATACTGAGAAAAGAAAAATAGCTGGAAACAGTCTGAATTATATGAGGTATGCAAAATTTATCAGGCCCAGAGAGAACTGAGGTATCGGACTTCAGTCATATTCTCCCCCCACCAACTCATGCCTGGGGGTAACTGTTTAAAGGCATTTTGTTTCTAACCAGATGCCTAACCTATTATCTTCATATTCCTGGAATGTATGATACAAAAAACAATGTACAACCAATCAACAGCTTATGTTATTTTAATGTAAATTATAGGTAAATAACTCAGAAACTGCCTCTTCTTTTCCTTTCAAAATCCACTTGTAACTTCTGTTAACCAAAGTGGATATTTAGGGCAACTTGAATCTATGCTCCTGAGTTGCCATCCTCAAGCGTGGCCCAAATAAACTCTCTACTTATATTAATTTGTTCTCAACTTATTCTTTTTAGGGCAACAACACTCTGCTTCACTTTTTAAAATATTTTCAGATAATTCCTGAAACATCTGGGCAATAGCAAGCTTTTCGTACCTCTTCTATGTCAGTGTGGGGGCCAAGGCCTTTGGCTCCTTAAAGGTTCACTGAAAAATCATTGACATAAGTCAGGTTGATTAACAGGAGTAAAAGCATACACCTTTATTTCATGTCTATACACTGGGGCCTTCAGAATAAAGACCAAACCTCTCAATGAGATTACAAAAGCTTAAATACCATCTTGAGGTTACAGAAAGAATGGGGGCTTGGATCCAGATAAAACAGTTTATGACAGGGAGAGAGGAACAGTCATGGCTAGTAAAGAAGGCCTTGTTATGTAAATGAAGCCTCACAGGTAGTAGACCTCAGAGAGAATAGATGGTAAATGTTTCTTTTCAGACTTTTAAAGGTATCAGACTCTCAGTTAATCTCCCCTAGATCCAGGACAAGCCTTGAAAGGGAAGGCCTGGTTAGTGGGGCATCTTCACAGACGCCAATTTCCCCTACAAAAGACATCTTTGCAGGACCAATTCAGTCTGCTGACCCTGTGGCAACCATTTCAAAAATGTGTCATAGAAATGTATTTTGGGGTAAAATGTTTTGATTTTCTTCACACCATCTGAAGAATATCTTTTGTAGACCTTCACTGCCTGTCCCCCTCTGGCACCATTAAAACAACCTAGTCAGTTTCCCCATACTCCATTCCAAACTAGACCTCCCCTTCCCCTCTCTAAAGCGCAAAGTTTTTGAGCCATGTCTCACCCTGAAACAAAACTGCTCCACATTTAATCCCACTCTAACTAATTGTTGTGCCAGACCCCTATTGACTCCACTAAGGATGACAGTGTGCCCTGGAGGCTGAAAAAGGAAACTGGAGATAGCAAAAGAGACATAGGATTTATTGAAGGAACTTACATACAGGGACAATCCAGGAGGAGCAGACTGTACCAGAGAACCACCACCATTTGTAAAACACATGCAGTTTATATAGCAATTTCACTTAGCACCCTCCACCTAGCAACCTTCACCTAGCAATCTCCATTTAACGCAAAACAAAGGGCCTGGATCCCTTGTATGGCCTGCATTCCAAGGGAATGGCTGGGGATTCAGATGTCCTTCATAGACAAGGAGTGAAACTCTGGGTTGTCTACTCCTGGATCCCTTAGCTCAGGACTCCAAACACACATTCTTCTTAGACCATAGGGTCATTCTCAGGGTATGCTTCAGTTATAGTTGTCAGGTGCCTCTGCCGTGTACCAACTATAATTTATGTCTGTTTACTCTTGGAGATACATTTTCAGTTGGTGGGGTCAGAAGTGAGGAGACATTATCTCTCAGGTGGCTATAACTTTCCTTCACTTAAGTTTAACTATATGGAGTAATTGTATCCTTTCTGACTCTTGAGTGAAGTATTTGGATGACATAGAATAAGTGAATATGACATATAGTTGATTTCTGGCGTGACTACGTTTACCTACGTTTACCTATATTCAGAAGTTTCCATACCCAAGAAATTACTGCTATTTATATAATTGACTCAGGTTGCAGGGTTCACAAAAATATCTAAACATAAAAAGAATTGTTAATAAAATATTTTTTACATGACCCAAGAGAAGTCATTAGTTCAGAGAAGACTTTTCAATATTTTTACTATATTTGTAAAATTTAAATGATTTTATAGATAATATATTGTGTACATTATTTATATACTATGTGTCATAAACATATTGTAAGATTGACATTTGGCTTGTGAGTATTACTTAGGTTCCAGAAACACTGGAAAACAAGCAGTTATGATAAATCCCTATAGGTATCAGATTCTATAGGTAGGAATTACAGGGCTACAGAAAACTTTTCCCCAGAATATGGCGCTTCAGCATGCTAAGTGCTTTGAAAATAGAAAGGCCTCAGAAATAAGTCTCAGAACCATGGTTTCTCTCTGATTTTTCCCTCTTCCCTCTGTTTTTCTGATCCTCTTTCCAAAAGCGTCAGTGGGGACTCTCTCTGGAGTTTCCTTATCTGACTAAGAAAGCTTAAATGCGATTGTCTTAACTCTCCCTCCCTAGGAATCTCACCAAATAACCAGGAAAGATCAATCCCCAGAAAAGAGAAGAGACCAGTGGTCTGTCACCATGCCCAGATAGACTTTTTACCTGTTCTTCCAAGGGTAGCTCCACATGATTACCTGGGGGATTTTATCTTTATAATAAAACAATCTTTTTTCATGAGCAGCTCCACCCATCACCTTCCCATAATGTCTGCCTTCTGCCTCCTAGATCCATTTATTCTTCCCAGTGATTTACTGTCTCTCAAAAGAAATGTCTGCATTTCTCATCTTCCCTCTCCCCTCTGGAGAAAAGCACATAATCCTCTGTACCTCACTGGGTAATTGAATAATCACTCTGTGATTTTCTCTCTGCACATCAATAAATTTGTGTCTTTTCTCCTATTAATCAGCTTTTCGTCAGTTGAGTTTTAAGAAAACCTTCAGAGTATAAAGGGGAAGTTTTCACTTAAAACACAAGAAATATCCACTTAAAATGATTTCAAACACATTTGGAACCACAAAAATGTTATTATTAGGAAAACCTAAAAGACATAAAATCATGCAGTTCAATCGTATGTCTAATACTTGGTATTACTAGTGTTTACATGTTACTGACAGCAAATCCGCAAGGGTCTGCAGCAACCTCAATTCTTCCCCCTTTAGAAGAAAGAATATGACTGAGGGATATGACTGAGGGTTATATGGCAGAAGAAGAGACCAAGTTAAGTATAGGAGCAGGAGTGAAAATTTGTTAAAAAGCTTTAGAGAGGAATGAAAAGAAAATAAAGTACACTTGGAAGAGGGCGAAGCGGGTGACTTGAAAGGCAACTGCACGGTTTGACCTTTTGACATGGAGTTTTGTATGTTGGCATACTTCCAGGGTCTTGTGTTCCTTTTCCCCTGATTCTTCCCTTGGGGTGGGCTGTCTGCATGCTCAGTGGCCTGTTAGCACTTGGGAGGAGAGCACGTGCAGTGTGTTTACTAGAGTTGTAGGAATACTCACTTGAGGCATTCTTCCTTACCAGCTGATGTCCCTAGGAGGTCATGCACCATTTAAATTCAGCCATTTTGCCTTTTAGTGTGCATGTGTGAGCCCATTCACTCATTCCTGAGATCTTTTTGAGAAGCTGCTGATTACCAGTCTCATTTTTTTCTATTTATAGTAAGACTACCTTTCCCTAGCTGGCTGTGACCCACTATTATTTTAGAGAGACAGTTAACTACTGCCAGACCATCACCTGATGGTCGCCTGACACTGCTGGTGGGGTGAGAGGAACTCTCTCCTGCCTTGCACATGCCTAGCTAGCTACCTACTATAATATACAGTATCCAGAGGCACTCCTACAGTCAGGTTTGTCTCAGAAAAGCATTATCTTTTTTCTTCTAAGTACCACAGTTTTGTTTAAAATTATTTTTAATTGGTATAAAATATCTTCATTAGCAGTATTAGTAATAGTGGAGAGTAATGCAGAGGAATGACTTTTCCTCAGCATACTCTCCTTCATGGTCATGGTTTTACTTATCAGATAACTTCAGATTTTGTAATTACCTAAGAGGTATTATTATAAATTTTAACAATGAAAATAATTTAGAAGTTATTTTAAGAGGCAAGTTTAAAATGTAAATGTAAATGTAGAGTCAGCTTTATTTATTGAATGCCTCTGTGGTACAAAAAGTAACACATAGACTGTCTTCAATTACATGCATTAATGGAAAAGACAAAATATATGCACTTGTAAAAGGCTGACAAATGGTTATAGCAGCATAAATTATACAACTTATTATGTAAACTGAGTAAAAATCATGGCCAGAAAGAGTCAAGGCAAAGGAATTAAGCATGCTGTGTTTCTGTTAACACAGCCTTCATTCTACCCATCTATTTTGATTGGCAGAGAAAAACCTCTCTAAATAGCTGAAAGTTTATTGATAAATAGATTTTTTGTAAACATCCTCTATTTAGATACCATTTAAGAATATTCACATGTCAAAGCTCTTAAGGAAATAAAAAGGGCAAGCAGATCTTTATAACATATATATTAGTTATATATATGGTTAATAATTTTCTGATGACTTAAGGACAGAAAAAAGTTTGATAGAGTTATGCATGCAGATATACATAGTTTTAAGTTTTAACAGATTTTGGCAAAACTAAAAGTAAAGGTGTTATAATTTTTGCTAAAATTCATCCAAAACTAGAAAAAAAATTCAAGAGGAGAAAAAAATAAAATTGAGAAACTAAACATAAGAGTAGACATGAATCAGATACATCTTGTGCAAGAAACAGAAAAAAATAAATGAAATATACGATATGGTTTACACCAAAACCCATTAATTATTGTTTACATTTTTATCTTCTAATTGCAATATGCTATTTTCGTGTGTATAAAAGTAGAGCACTATATCCTGACTTCAAGTGCTTTTCTTAAAACAAAACAAACAGAATTAGTTTTTCAGCTTAGCAAAGCATACTATCTATTTTAGCACAGCAGGAATGCTGCCATTTTAATAGGATAGCAGACAAGTGGATTTATTCTCAATCCTTTAAGCTTCTACTTCAGGGGACTAAAATGTGTGAAAAAAATTTCGGATCCAATTTTAGACTATGTTTCAAATCCACTGAGATTCTCCATTCTCTACATCTCTGGAACATGATTATTCTGAGAACATCTACACTTTCACAAGGCTGCCTGCTTCTCTGTTAAGACATGAAAACAGAAGAAAATTGAGCAAAAATTGAATTTCATGTGATTGAGCAAATTTGAGTTTCATGTGATTCATGTGAAGAGAATAAACAAAGGGCAAAATAATTCTAGAGTGCTAGTTACTAAGTTGAAAGGTACAACGTCATTTGTAAATGAAGTTACTTTATTTACTCATGAAGTTAAAATTTTGTTGAGAATTTGTATCTTGTGGCCTTTACCCAATTTCTCCTTATTGCATGTCAAATAATTGTGTTTTAAAATAAACTCTAAAAAGTTACGGATTGTACTCTTAAAATGCATTATCAATTTTAATTTTAAAACATATATTTTCTATTATAAACATTTTTTATAATGGAGGATATTAGAATGAAAAGGAAAATATTCTTGGTCTTCTCAAATAATATAATTTTATATAAGGTATAATTTATAGCCTTAAAAGCCTCTATGAAGAGATGTGATATGGATATATTATCCATATTGTTGCCTGAGGAAAATTTTAACTGAAATATGAATTATAATTTTTAATAATTTTGAATTTTCTCCTTTGATTCATTTCTGTTTTTCTCTTTTTTACTGTGTTTTATACAAATTGTATAAGGAATAGTTGGCTTTGATTTTAAATGAGCTATTTGACTTTACTCATGCTATTTTCAGAACACTTTTATTAAATTATGAATTTATTGATTTTGGTTCAGTAGGACCCACGGGTCAAATAGCAAACTCAACCAACCAAGATATGAAAATGACTCAATAAAGAGAAGAAAAAGTTAAAGTACTTGACAAAATGAGATATGCTGCCACAATTTTGAACTTTACTTCTTATGAGAAGGCCCAGGTCAGTTCTGAATTTCTTTGGAATTTGTTTACATTTTAAGATATGGTCATTTGTTCTTCATTTTTAACTGTCTTTTTTTTTTCCCCTGAAATTTCAAAAGTGAAGAGGTAATCTACAATTGATAGCATATTAGGAGGGGGTTGGCATGCATGGGAAGTAATAGGAGCATAACGGAAGAGTGAGAAGACATAAAAAGCCACGACAGACTTTCATAGAAAAATGTCAATATATGTCAACTTACCTCAATATTTTCTGGAGCTGTAAAACTACACAATGGTTGATATTCTTCTTGAAGCTCTGTAACTATATATTACTTAATTACAAAAGGGATACACGCAAGATTTTAGGGAAGGTGTCCTTTCTGGCTGACACATACAAATTGATTATATGTGTGTATGTACACACATATAATATTACGATATTACTATAATACTTCCACAATCTCTTAACAGCATGAAATCTTCAACCACTTCTCTGACTCTCCCCATAATCTTTGGCTAATGACTCTTCCCTGAATCTTCCCACCATAGTCTTCTCAATTGGTGGCCCATTTTTCAACAACAGTTCATATATTAATGGTCCTGGAGTTGGGGTTTAAGTGTCCTCTTTGCTTTCCCTTGTTGCTTTCAGGTTATTCTTTATTTCCTTTCTATCACAAACAACATTAAATTGCATGGTCCATATCACTACACCTCACTGGTTCATAATACTATATTTGGTACTTTCTTCTACACCCACGGATCATTCCCAATTGTGTGCTGGCTTCCTTTTTACTGTCACTTCTTCCAGTACAGCCCTTGTATTAATTATCATTGATTTCATTATGCACAAAGAGAATCATTCCTTGAACCCTTCTTTTTCAACAATCTTGCTCTGCACACTACTTCAGCTATTTTCTTTCATAGTTATGCCCTACACCTGGCTATTATTTAGTAATTTTCCTCCAATATTAATTGTAAGCATCTTGCATTGTTGTGGGCTGAACTGTATCCTCTCCACCCTCCAAACTCATATGTATGTGACTATATTTGGAAACAGGACCTCTACAAAGGTAACTAAGGTAAAATGAAGTCTTATGGGTGGGTCTTAATTCATTATGACTGGTGTACTTTTAAAAAGAGGAGATTTAAACACAGACGTGTGCACAGTGGAAAGATCTGTGACAACAGAGGGAGAAATTCAGCCATCCAAGCCATCCACAAGTGAAGGAGAGAGGTCTCAATGAAACCAACACTGCTGACAACTTGATCTTGGACTGCTACCCTGGATAACTGTGAGGAAATAAATTTCTGGTGTTTTAGCCATCCAGTCTGCAGTATTTTATTTTGGCAGCCTTAGAAAACTAAACACACACTATCTTCCACCTCCTATCTTCCCAACACATTTCTTTTAGTACACAATCAATTTCAACCCAGCTGTGTCCTAGACCTATTGATCATACAGTCTCTTATCACTGTGATTTCTTCCTTGCCCTCTTTTGCCAGTTTAAACTCCACGTTTAGTCATTTTTAACTTCTTTCTGAACTACAGCTGGAACATACAAACAGTATATGTACATATTGATGAATTACTACCAAATGTATGCTCTCATGTAACACATATGGAGTATTAACATGGTGAATCATTTGGTTCCTCCTTGTCTTTCTCTTTCTTTACTGTACTTATTTTGCATAAATGTAATTCTGGCTGAATTCAATTTTCCCTTTATTAGGTACATTTGCTTGTAAAGAGAGATGATTTTGGAGAAAAATTTGCAAATGTGCACACCATACTCACTTTGAATTAAAGAAAAACCTTGTTGTTGGTTACTTTGGTTCATTCTCTATTTAGGTTTTTAGACCAGGGGTCAGCAAACTTTTTCTGTAAAAGACCAGATAGTGAATATTTTCATATGCCATATATTCTGTGTCATGACAACTATACTCAGCCATAGACAATATACAAAGGAGGGGAATGGCTGTGTGCCAATAAAACTTCATTTACAAAAATAGGCAACAGCCTGGATATGGCTAGGGCCTATAGTTGGCTGACTCTTGTTCTAGACTATTATATAAAACATTTTCTTCTGTCCTCAGACAAAACCTTCCGGCTTATTCTGATTCTCAGGTGATGACTTTGATTCTTAATCTAATTAGAACATTGAGATCATCTTAAAAAGGATATTAGGTTGGGCATGGTGGCTCATGCCTGTAATCCCAGTTTTTGGGATGCCAGGATCTCTCGATGCCAGGAGTTCAAGACCAGCCTAGGCAATGTAGTGAGAGCCCATCTCTACAAAAAAATAAAAATTACAGAAACAAATTAAAAAGAAAAGAATGTTAATTATCTACCTCCACTGTATCTAGGCATTTCTCAGATTCTAGAAACATATTCTCTGTTATTTCTTGGAATACTGCTGTAGTATATAGATTAATTGTCCATGCCCATCTTTAAGGCCAACACTTTCAGTTGTGCAATAGATCTTACATCTTATTATCTATTGAAAAAACATAGCTCAAGCCATCCTCTTTCGTTACCCCAACTCATCCATTTTTCTTTTTCTGCTGCATCATTTCTATCAACTGCAAAACAAACCAACAAAATACAAAGCAACAGCAAGAAAATCACACAGCGATTTTAGCTGCCACATCCCCTTCCAGCTGCACTCAAATTTATATCTTTTGTCTTACATACTTCAACAATGGTTTCTGTATTACTGAATTTAACTCTTCTCCTGTTTTCTCTTTAAACCACATTAATTAGGCTTTTCTGTTTCTTTTTTTTTATTTTTTTTTACTTTAAGTTCTGGGATACATATGCTGAACATGTAGGTTTGTTACATAGGTATACATGTGCCATGGTGGTTTGCCGCACCTATCAACCCGTCATCTAGGTTTTAAGCCCTGAATGCATTAGGTATTTGTCCTAATGCTCTCAGCAGCACATAGCATATTTGACCACTTCTTCCTGTTCTTCTTTCTTCACTTCACTTTCCGGATATCATACTTTTCTGCTTTTTCTCCTAACGTTATTTATTCTCAATCTCTTTTGTCAGTTCATCTTAGTGTGACCACAATGTGAGAGGTCTTGGTGCTCAGGGCTTGACTTGTTCTGTCAGTCCTCACTCCCATGGTTTGTGCTTTTTAAATATTATCCCATATATTTGAAGGGTAAGACTTCAAATTATTTGAATATCTAGCCAGGGCCTCTCATTTCTACTTCAGTCTTATATCTCCCTACCTCCTCAATATCCCTACTTAGATGGTTAAAAATAAAGTGCTTTGGGGGAAATATAAAGTTAGTTTGCATTTAGCTAGTATCATAGTATCACAGAATTTCATCAAAATTTTGTTACTGTAGAAACAGTAACAATATGACTGAAACCTAAATCCCAATGTTTGTTCAAACCATCTCTCTCTATAAAACATCACTTTCATATTCATATCTAACATCTAATTCTTCTTACTACTATGATTTCTGAGTCTCCTACCTCAGCTTCCATTCCAATGAACACATTAAAAGTGAAAAACCATATATGTGATTCAACCACATATACAAATACATATGCATGTACATATTAAATTGAAAGATTATAGTGACAGAAAATCTCACTTACATTTAATTTCAAGAACTCAACGAATTATCACATGCAAAATAAACCAATTTGCCATTTATCTTTATGGTGGTAATTCGTTGTTTTATAAAGCATCTGAAAAGGGATAGGACTGAGTTTCTGTTTGTTTCTATTGAAAAACTAAGGGGTAATGCAAACTGAACACTCATTAAATATATATACACACATAATATATATGCAGACATTATATTAATATATTTATGATTATAATATTTAATATTGAAAACATTCCCATGAGATAGGCGATTTATGGTTTATATTGGGTAAGAAAAGCAAAGACTAAGCTTAAGAAACGCATGCAAGGTAATATAATTTGGAAATAGTAAATCCACAATTCAAACCTCAGCTATCTAATTTCTAAAATGTGTTCTTAACTTCTGAATTACTTGGTAAGATATCCCAATGTTTAAGAACGAAAAAAAAATAGTACTTTTGAAGAAATCTAGATAATATCCAACCTCGTTAAATTTACTCCCTATAGAGATATTCTTCAGATGCTGAAAGAAATGTTTCCTTTGCCTTTATTTTCTTACCTATATCAATTTTGGCATTCAGGGCCATGTTAGGGCTTAGGATATAAATTGTATGTCTGTAAAAATTTCCATTCTGTTAATGTCTTTTATGTGGCAAATTACTCTTGTTCCTTATTATGGTCTATGAGTGTAATGATTGGGTAATGATATCCAATATTCTGAATCATTTTGTGTATATACACCATATGCATGCAAATTCAATTTGCCTCATACTTTGCTCTTTAATTTGCATTTTCATAGAACTAGTTGAGTATTATGAGGTAAAATTATATTGACTGATTTCAATATCTTAAAAAGTTAAATCGTCATTATATGGGAAATGTTTTAAGCATTAATTATAAATGAATCATAAAAAAATTCTCAAGGCACACATCTTGAGTTATAATGTGATAATAGCTACATGTACTAAAGATTTATATTAGAGTTGCAGTACATAACCCATGCTTTGATTAAAAAATTAAACAGTGATATCAAAAGGAAATAATTCATTTTTTAACTGGAAATACCAATGTAAATATATTAATGTAATTCTAAGCCAGTACAAATTAGATACAAATGGCATAGCTATATAATGACATCAAAAATCAACATACACCAAGTGCATGCCTATGTAAAAGCATTAACAATTTTTATTTAACAAAAATATAACATTTATTCCCACTAACATTTTTAAAAAACATAATAAATATAGGCTCCTTATCTGAATAATTAGAAATCATACATGTTCTAGCACAAGACATTTGCCCTTTGGCTTCTGGTTAAAAAACTCTGAGGATTTACAAACCAAAGGGCTGGTATCAAATCATGGAGTTGAGACTTTCTAGACCTACATAAACATCCTGGCACTACACCAAAGTCTAGGTAAATATACAAAAAGTGTCATATTTGAGAAATTACAGGTAAAAGAAACAGGATGAACAAAGCTTTAGGCATAAAAGAGCATGTTGAGGGTAGAAGTACATGTGCAATTGGTTTTATTTGATTAGAGTTTCTCAATCCTCCCTGGGCAACATCAGTCTTGAATTTTTTAAATATAGATAACTGATTTGAACATTAGTATTATTAAATCAGAGTCTCCAGAAACCATATTGAAGAAGTTATATTTTTAAAGCATTTCAGGCCAGGCATGATGGCTCATGCCTATAATTCCAGCATTTGGGGAGGCTGAGGTGGGCGGATCACCTGAGATCAGAGGTTCCAGACCAGCTTGGGCAACATGGTGAAACCATGTCTCTACTAAAAATACAAAAATTAGCTGGGTATGGTGGCACATGCCTGTAATTCCAGCTACTTGGGAGGCTGAGGCATGAGAATCACTTGAACCCAAGAGGCAGAGGTTGCGTGAGCCGAGATCATGCCATTCAACTCCAACCTGGGCAATAGAGCAAGACTCCATCTCAAAATAAATAAATAAATAAATAAGATTTCACATGTGATTCATTGATTAAGTCCTACTTACACACACAAAAAAATAAGTAGAAAGTGAACAAAACCAAAGCAAAATAGACTTAAGTAACAAGTATGAATGAGCCATGTGTCCCAAAAAATATATTAAAAAAAAGACTATGTTTCACAAAGTGAAAGAGTTTTATTCTTGGAAGAGTTAAGATGAGAATTGAATGTTTTCATTGTGAAGTGGTAACTAAAAGATAAAGATTGATTTCCAAAAGAGGAATTATAGTAAATGGATTGTATTGAAGGATGTGTTGAAGGTGGCAACTGGAATTCTGCATGAGAAAAACCAAAAGTGGGCAGAAAAAGAAAAAGACAAGAAAGTATTGAGTCTGCTTATGCTGAATAAAATAAGACATTGTATTAAAATATGCTTTACAGAGTTTGAGGTAAGCCTGGAAAGCATAGCAAGACCCCATCTCTACCAAAAATAATTAAAAAAAAATAAGCCTGGTGTGGTAGCACACACCTGTAGTCCTAGATACTCAGGAGGCTGAGACACGAGGATCACTTGAGCTTGGAAGGTTGAGGCTGCAGTGCACTCCAGCCTGAGCAACAGAGTGAGACCTCATCTCAAAATATATGTGTGTGTGTGGGTGGGTGGGTGTATTAGTCTTTTCTCACACTTCTATAAATAACTACCTGAAACTGAGTAATTTATGAATAAAATAAGTTTAGTAATTCACAGTACTGCAGGTTTAACAGGAAGCATGGTTGGAGAGGCCTCAGGAAAGTTACAGTTATGGCAGAAGGGCAAAGAAGAAGCAAGCACCTTCTTCACATGGTGACGGGAGACAGAGAGAGTGAAGGAGGTCATGCTACACACTTTCAAAAACAACCAGATCTCATGAGAACTCTATCATGAGAACAGTAAGGGGGAAGTCCACATCCATGACTTAATTACCTCCCACTAAGCCCCTCCTTCAACATGTGCGGATAACAGTTTGACATAGAATTTGAGTAGGAACACAGAGAAAACTATATTATTCCACCCCATCCCCTCCCAAATCTCATGTCCTTCTCACATTACAAAACACAGTCATGCCTTCCCAACAGCCCCCAAAATTTTATCTCATTCCTGCATTAACTAAAATGTCCAAGGTCAAAGTCTCATCTGAGACAAAGCAAATGACAGTTACTTCCAAGATACAATAGGCACACAGGAATTGGGTAAATGCTCCCATTCCAAATGGGAGAAATCGGCCACAACAAAGGGGGCTACAGCGCAGTCATTAAATCTTAAAGCTCCAAAATAATCTCCTTTAACTCCTTGTCTCACATTCAGGCTACACTGATGCAAGGGGTGGGCTCCTAAGGCCTTGAGCAGCTCTGCCCCTGTGGCTTTGTAAGGAACAGCCACCGCAGCTGCTTTCACAAGCTGGTGTTGAGTCCTTGCAGCTGTTCCAGGTGCACAGTGCAAGCTGTTGGTGGATCTACCATTCTGGGATCCGGAGGATGGTGACCCTCTTCTCACAGCTCCACTAGGCAGTGCCCCAGGGGGGACTCTGTGTGGGGGATCCAACCCCACTTTCCCCCTCTGCACTGCCCTAGTAGTTCTTCATGAGTGCTCCTCCATGGAGCACTCCTGGATGTCTGGAAACATCCAGACATTTCTATACATCCTCTGAAATCTAGGCAGAGGTTCCCAAACCTCAACTCTTGCCTTCTGCACACTGCAGGCCCAATACCACCAAGCCACCAAGGCTTGGGGCTTGCACCCTCTAAAGCAACAGCCTGAGCTGTACCTTGGCCCCTTTTAGCCATGGCTGGAGCTAGAGTGGCTAGGATATAGGGCATCATGTCCTGTGGCTGCACAGAGCAGCACAGTCCTGGGCCCAGCCCATGAAAACATTTTTCTCTTCTAGGCCTCCAGGCCTGTGATGGGAGAGACTGCTGTGAAGGTCTCTGACATGTCCTGGAGACATTTTCCCCATTGTCTTGGCTATTAATATTCAGCTCCTCTTTACTTATGCAAATTTCTGCAGCCAGCTTGAATGTTTCCCCAGAAAAAGAGTTTTACTTTTCTACCACATGGTCAGGCTGCAAATTTTCCAAACTTTTCTTCTCTGCTTCCCTTTAAATATAAGTTCTGGTTTCAGATAATCTTTGTTTACGCATGTGAGTGCACACTTTTAGAAACAGCCAGGTCATGTCTTGAATGCTTTGCTGCTTAGCAGTGTTTTCACCAGATACCCTAAATCATCTCACTTAAATTCAGAGTTCTACAGAACTCTAGGGCACAGGCAAAAAGCCACCAGTCTCTTTGCTAAAGCATAGCAAGAGTGACCTTTACTCCAGTTACCAATAAGTTCCTCATCTCCATCTGAGGCCACCTCAGCTAAGACCTCTTTTTCCATGTCACTATCAGCTTTTTGGTCAAAATAATTTAACAAGTCTCTAGGAAATTGCAAACTTTCCCTCATCTTCCTGTCTTCCAAGCCCTCCAACTGTTTTAACCTCTGTCCCTTACCCAGTTCCAAAGTCACTTCCACATTTTCAGGTATCTTTATAGTACTGCCCTACTCCTGGTGCCAATTTTCTATATTAGTTTGTTCTCACACTGCTATAAAGAACTATCTGAGGCTGGGTAAATGATGAAGAAACAAGGTGTAACTGACTCATAGTTCTGCAGGCGTAACAGGAACCATGACTGAGAGGCTTCAGTAAACTTACAATCATGGTGGAAGACAAAGAAAAATCAAATGCCTTCTTCACATGGTGGCAGGAGAGAGAGCAAATGGGGAAATACTACACATTTGTAAATAACCAGATCTCATGAGAACTCCATCATAAGACACCAAAGGCGAAGTCCACCCCCATGTTTTAACCACCTTCCACCAGGCTCCTCCTTCAACATGTGGGAATTACAATTCAACATTAGATTTGGGTGGGGACACAGAGCCAAACCATATCTATATCTATATCTAATCTATATCTATATATGTACCTATATTTATATCTATATTTATCTGTAATCTTTATCTGCATCTGTAATGTATATCTATATATATACACACACAAATGAAATTTTGGTGGGGACACAACCAGACCATATGGATATGTATCTATCTATCTGTCTATCTAAAACCTGTTTATTTTTACATATGTTAATGTGGCTGCTAGTGAACTTCTAATTACATATGTAGCTGGCATTACATTTTTATTGGATGCCAGTCTTGAGTTAATCTATGACCTGAGTAAGGTCTCTGGTTTTCCTGAGCACAAACATTTGGACATGGTCAACCTCAGTTCAGAGACAGTCTATGACTGTTCCCCTACCACATGCTATAGGTGCCAAACATCCCTGGTGCCGATTTTCATGGGGAAAGAGGGGAAAATAAGAGAATAGAGATTTTACTTGGATACTCATTTGTTCAACACTTTTTGTCATAATTGAGTTTTTGTTTAACCATCTGGGTACATAGTGCATGAGTGTGAGTGAGATATGTTTGAAATATTAGATACTACCTATTTTTCCCTTTCCCTCTTTGCTCCAACACCCTCCCCCACACTGCATTTTCCAAGCATAGGTGTCCATTTTTATTGCCTCAGGTAAAAAAGTGATAATTAAGTAGAGAATCAAGAAACACCTAACAACTGAAGCTTGTAGGAGACAGAAATGACTTGGGTGTAAAGGGTTTAAAGAAGTTGACAGGCCCTCAAGAAAAAGACAGATGCATCCTGCTCCCTGAAATAAGCCTAAGGAGTGGCAAAAATAAACAGGCAAAACAAACAACTAACAAAAAGAAAACAAGGCAAACAAAAATATAACTTTTTCAGCTCTGTGTGGGGAAGATTCCAATAGGGCTCCAATGGATGCCTACTTTGTTCCAAGTAGAAAAACATCAAGAACCAGAATCTAGTGTTCCTCCCCAAACAACGATTACATAAGTTGCATGAACTTAAATTATATCTTAGGGAGAAGGGAGGAGAAAAATTAATTGAGAATAAGTGTATACCATTATGGTTGAAATACCTTAAATTAGGCCGGGCACAGTGGCTCACGCCTGTAATTCCAGCACTTTGGGAGGCCAAGGTGGGCGGATCACGAGGTCAGGAGATGGAGACCATCCCGGCTAACCCGGTGAAACCCAGTCTTTACTAAAAATACAAAAAATTAGCCGGGCATGGTGGCGGGCGCCTGTAGTCCCAGCTACTCGGGAGGCTGAGGCAGGAGAATGGCGTGAACCCGGGACGGGGAGCTTGCAGTGAGCCAAGATCGCGCCACTGCACTCTAGCCTGGGGGAAAGAGTGAGACTCCGTCTCAAAAACAAAACAAAACAAAACAAAACAGTTTAAATTAAAAAACTATTTCCACCTAAAATGGATTAGAACTAATGAATTCAACAAAATTGCAGGAAATAAAACCAACATGTAATAATCAGTTGTGTTTTTATATACTTGCAATGAGCAATCTGAAAAGAAAATTAAGGAAAAAATTTAATTTACAATAGCATCAAAAAGAATAGAATATATAGGAATAAACTTGACCAAAGAGGAGAAAGACTTCTACAGTAAAAACTATCAAATGTTGCTGAAAAAAAATGAAAAATCCTAAATAAAGGAAAACACAGTGTTTATGGATTAGAAAACAATATTATTAACATGTCAATACTAACCAAAGAGAGCTACAAAATTAATGAAATTCCTGTCAAAATCCCAATTACTTTTTAGCAATAGAAATATTTACCCTAAAATCATATAGAATCTCAAGGGACCCCAAATAATTAAAACACCTTAGAAAAGAAGAACAAGGTTGGAGGGCTCACTCTTCCTGATTTCAAAACTTATTATAAATCCATAGTAATCAAAACAAAGTGGTATTGGCATTAAAATTAACATAAGAGAACAATGAAATACAAAAGAAAGCTCAGGAATAAACCCTTACATATATGGCCAAATTATTTTCTACAAGGGTGCCAGGACCATTAACGGACTGCTAGCTTTTTACAATCTTGGGAAAACTGAAGATCTGCATGCAAAATAAATGAAATTAGACTCTTACTTTATAATATACACTTAAATTAACTCAACATGAATGAAACACCCAAGCAAAAGAACAAAAACTATTAACCTATTAAAAGTAGAAGGGAACTTCTTGGTATTGGATTTGGCAATGATTTCTTGTATCTGACACAAAGTAGAGGCAACAACAACAACAAAAATAGGCAAATTGGACTATACTAAAATTTAAAAGGTTTGTGCATCAAAAAACTATCAACAAAGGGAAAAGACAACCTAAGAAATTGAAGAAAATGCATGCAAATTACATATTTGATAAAAGACTGATATCTAGATATATAAATAACTCCTACAATTCAACAATGAAAAAAAAACGACCTGATTAAAAATGGAAAAAAAAAAACTTAAATAGAAATTTCATCAAGGAAGATATCCAAATGACCAATAAACACATGAAAAGTCACTTGACACCATTAACCATTAAAAATATGCAAATGAAAACAATGAGATACCACTTTATCCCCATTAGGATGGTTAATAACACACACACAAAAGAGAAATAAGATGTTTTTTTTTTTTTTTTTTTTTTTTTTTGAGACAGAGTCTTGCTCAATCGCCCAGGCTGGAGTGCAGTGGCGAGATCTCGGCTCACTGCAAGCTCCGCTTCCCGGGTTCACGTCATTCTCCTGCCTCAGCCTCCCGAGTAGCTGGGACTAAAGGCGCTCACCACGCCCAGCTAATTTTTTTGTATTTTTAGTAGAGACGGGGTTTCACCATGTTAGCCAGGGTGGTCTCAATCTCCTGACCTCGTGATCCACCCTCCTCGGCCTCCCAAAGTGCTGGGATTACAGGCGTGAGCCACCGCGCCCTGACAAGTAATAAGATTTTTAAAAATAGAAAGTGTTGGTGAGATTGTGGAGAAATCGGAACCCTTGTTTATTGCTGGTGGCAATGTAAAATGGCCACCACTGTGGAAAATGGAATGGCTGTTACTCAAAAGTTAAACAGATTTGCCGTACGATCCAACAATTCAATTTCTGGCTATATATTCAAAAAAATTGAAAGTAGGGACTCAAACAGATATTTGTATGCCCATGTTCATAATAGCCTTTTTCACAAAAAAAAACAAAAGGTGGAAGCAACCCAAGTGTCCATCAGTAGATACATTGATAAGCAAAATGTGATATATACATATAATAGAGTATTATTCATCATTCAAAAGGCAGGAAATTCTGACACAAGCTATAATATAGATGAATCTTGAAGACATTATGGTTAGTGAAATAGCCAGTAACCAAAAGACAAATACTATATTATACCAATTACATGTAGTACCTCTAGTAGTTATAGAGACAGGAAATAGAATGGTGGCTGCACAGGGCTGTGGGGAGGAGAGAATTATTGTTTAATGAGTACCGTTTTTCAGTAAGGAAGACGATAAGAGTCTGGAGATAAATGGTGGTGGTGGTGATTGCACAACAATCTACATTTACTTAGTGCCACTGAACTATACACTAAGAATTTGTTAAAATGGTAATTTTTATTATGTATATTTTACCACCATTAATAAAAATTTAAAAAGTTATTTTAGTTGTTCTGTAGTAATACAGTGACATTGAATACCACTAAAATATTTTAATTAAATTGGAAACACAAATCTTAGAGAGATTAGATTATAAACTATTTCTCTTTAGAATAAACCTGAGAGTAAAGCAGAAGTTGGTCACCTCCTAGAGGCCCGAGAGCATCAGCCTTGAATCCACCAATGGCAAATCACTAAAGAGGGTTCTTGGCTTCCAGAGATGATTGTGTCAATTTCATATAGTTCTATTTCTTATGAATCTCATGCTGTAATTGGAACTTGTACAGAATATTAGCACCTGGCAGTTTTAGTGGTTTTCACTATATTTCTCAGGATCATACTCTGTTGTCTTTTTGATTCATTTTCTTTTGTTTAATCTATCTCACATAATCAAAATTCGACTAAAAAATGCAGGGACAATAGAACATCGTGGTGGGAACAATCACAATGTAGGAGTAAGAAAGATAATGAGAAATGCTTCATCCCACCATGGAAGGTTTTATAAGGATAGAAGCCCACAACTGGCTACCATCCTCTGGGTGTACCTAAGGGACATATAATTTGGTGTTTATATCTAGAAGTTTGGTTTCATAGCTGTACTTCCTTGTAGTTCAAAATGTTCAAGAATTATAGGTACTAAGGAACTGTATGGCTTCTGTGATAGGCAGAATTCTAATGATGTCCCACCAAGATTCCTCTCCTATCTCTATTCAATTAAACACAAATGTACTTCTGTAAAAGGAACTAGCAGATGAAATAAGGTTTCAAACCTTAAAATATGGAAATTACCCTGGGTAATCCAGATGGGCCCAATCTAGTCACTTAAGCCCACAAAGCAAGGAACTTTCTCTGACTGAGATGAGGATATGAGGTAAGAGAAAGATTGAAACTGTGAGAATAACACATGTCTCCATTCCTGAGTTGGAAGATGAAAGGAGCCTCCTCCTAGGCCATGAGTACTCTCTCCAGTTGCTGACAACAATGCACTGCTCACTGCCAGTAAGGAAACAAGAACCTCATTCCTACAGTGCTAACAGATGAATTCAGGCAACCAATTAAATGGGCTAGAAGCAGATTCATTCCTTAAGTCTCCAGAAAGAAACACAGGTCTGCAGATGCTTTGGTTTGAGTCTTGTGATACCTGAAGAAGAGGACCCAGTTACGTGACTCTCACCTAAATTCTGTGATACAATAAATTTGTTTCGTTCTAAGCCACTAAATTTGTTGGAATTTGTTGCAACAGCAATAAAAATAATGAATACACCTCCTTCATAAAGTCTCAAGTAATTGGTTAGAGGGGAAGACACCCAAAGGAAAATTTTCCTCAGATTTGCTTTAAAGGGGATGAAGAGAAAAAGTTGAGATCTTCGTAATGAGTCTTCCTCCTTCAATAAGAATAGATGGACAACTATGTTTTGTTGTCATTCTTGTTGTTTATCAAAGAAAGAAGCTCTGTAATTATGAGCACAGATAATTTATTGTGAAGTATAAAATACAAAGATTCAATGCAGTAATTTATCTGACATTTGGAGAAGACTCTGGTAGGAAATTGGGGTAATCATAGAGTAAAGGGAATATAGAAAATAAAATGTTGCATAATTAGTTATAATAATGGGCAGCTAGAGATTAATCTAACAGGGAGATTGGGAAATGGAGTTAAACTTACTACTGAGAATTATTTTCCCTCTGCTCTTTAGGGATGTTAATTCCAAGGCACTTCTAGCCTGTCTTAAGTGTCAGCAGAAAAATCTACGCATTTCAGAAAAACCCTCAAGTCCAAAGATGGAGGCACTGGTACCTGGAAGTTTTCTAGTTCACACTAAAATGTTCACACCCGATGAAAATAGACAGGTCATGAACATTTCTGCTACACCACGTAAATGAAATAGAGCAATTTGGGGAAATTCAAAACAATTAAATATAGTCCGTGCATTGTGGTACATACAGAAAGGCCTGTCACAGGCAGATAAATATTCCCATTATGAGAGTTTTGGAAAGCAAGTGCCTAATGGTGCTCCTTAGACTATGAACTCATATTTTTTAACCTTATCATGAAAGTCTGAGAAATTATTATTTTCTGTTCATTGTCTATGGCTTGTAGATTGCTAAATTCAACAAAGTGGATATGTATCATTTTGACCTATTTAACATAGTTTATTGTTTTTACAATTCTCTCTAAACACTTTATTTTGTTTATTCTCTATTAGACTGGATCTTTCTTCTTAGTCTCCTCTGTTGGTCTGGCTCCACCACTGTAATTCTAAATGTTGGGATGCCTAAATTCTGATAGAACTCTTTGCTATCCTCACTTATTCAATATACAATCTCCTTCAGTTTTGTGGCTATGAAAAACATCTATAAGTTCATAGCCCCCCCGCCGTCCCTTTTTTTTGTAGAGACAGAGTCTCGCTGTATTGCTTAGGATGGTCTCAAACTTGTTGCCTCAAAGATCCTACTGCCTCAGCCTTCAAAAATTCTGGGATTACAGGTATGAGCCACCACCCCCAGTCTAACACCCCAAATATATGTATATATTTAATACGTATACATATATACAAATACATATACATATATACAATGTATTTAAATACAAATATACATTATATTTAAATACAATGTATTTAATACATATACATATATACAAATATATATATAATACATATACACACACACACACACAAATACACACACACACAAATACACACACACACAAATACACACATACACACACCCTGGACCTATTCTCAGAGCTGCAGACTGCTTTTTTGACATCTTCAACCTGAATATCTAACAGGTACTTTACACCTTACATGGACGAAAGCAAATACTAACTTCTTCTTCACCAAACAATGTCTTTCTCTTCATTTTTTTTTTTTTTTTGGTGTTATGGAGGCATATTTTACAGTCACTTTGACTGCTTTCTTTCAGACTACTCACATGCAAACTTTGTTACATGTGTGACCTCATCTCATTCTCTCTCACTTTCTCATCCCACTCTTTCCTTTTCGTCACATATACCAGGACTCATCTAATCTCATGCTCTTTGCACTTGATCTTCTTGGCTGGTATCACCCTTCCGTTAGACCTTCAGATAGCCCTAGAATTTGTAACTTTACCTTCTTCATATCTTTGCTCATATATCTTGCAATCACTGAAGCCTTTCTTAAAGATACTACTCTTGCTTTATCTCTGAATTCAACCCTCCTCCTTCTGGGGCTTACCTGCTTCATATTTATTTTCTTTTCCATGAATGTGGTTATGTGTGTGTATTTTACATAGGAGAATACATGTATACAAAATTATATAAGAATATATTTTACTAATTTAAGTGAGAGAATATATGTTGAGATTTTGGTCTGTTTTTGGTCTCTGCTTAATTCTCAATATCTAGAATAGTGCTTGTCACTTAGGAAATGCTAAATATACACTTTTTAATGAATTGCCAACTCATCACTTCTACAAGGGAGCTGGGATCCATATTATCTAAAGGCCAAAGTGTGTGTTTGGTGCCTTTGGGGGATAACAGAAGGAGTGTTGCTTATTCAGTCTTTACCTCAATTATTAAGAATTATTTATCAGAATAACTTTTAAATAGTTACTTAAAATTATGAATCTTATTAGAAGGAAGAAAATGATTTATCACTTACTACAGTGAACCCTGAAAAGTAGTGACATGTCACACTACCATAATAAAAAACCTGTTCAAGACAAAAGATCATACATAAGCTAAAATATAACTAGTTTTAAAATCAGTTTTGCATGAATCATTCTCAATGTCCCCCCATTATTAGAATGTATAGCCATTATATGCTATAATGTTTCCCTTAAAACTTCAATTTAATCCTAGTTTTACAAGTAATTATATATTAAATGCTCACCACCATTCATTATGCAGATATTGCTCTAGTCATTTTTGTTATCCAAATTTTGCTCTATAGTAGATTCTATAGGAAAGGCTCATGGAAAAAATATCTT